>NC_000012.12:98066188-98369218 GCF_000001405.40 Homo sapiens
GATAGTAAATGGGCACTATTTTAAGCCACTGTGTATATGGTAATTCATTACAGCAGCAATCAGAAACTAATACACCTCCCCAGAACCAGCCCCAGGGGTGTAGCTGCTGGTCTCTTCCTTGCCTTGGCTTGCCACACTTGCCACACATAGATAAGATGCCACTCTGGGCTTACAAGCCTTAGTCCCTAGAGCTGAGAAGCAAGTCCCAATTCTGATGTGCAGAGCCCCTTCACGGCACAGCTGTCCAACCCTGTGATCCAGCCATTATCCATCACGGGCCAAACCAACCATGACAGTGCAGTAGATAACTACCAGCTCTATTAAGCTGGGAAATGACTTCTCGGCAACCTAAAGGATTTCACAGTCATCAGATTACTAGTCCATTACTGGGAAGAGTTGACATTTTTTCTTTAATTCTTCACCAGGTAGCCAATTAGGCAGAGGACTAGGCAGAGGACATCATCAGATACTACTACTTTTATTGCAATTTCTATGTCCACTAAAATTGTTTCTTGTGTTCAACAATATAATGGGTGAGTTTCCAAATTTACTTCATGTTTTAAAAGATTATAATAAGCACATAATCGCTCGAGAAGTAGAATCAGGCCCTTCTTATCCTTATCCTCCTTCCATTGCTGAAACAGGTGTGTCAGGTTGGGGGGGGTGTTATGGGCTGAATTGTGTCCTCACCACAAAATTCATTTGTTGAAGTCCTAACCCCCAGTATTTTAGAATGTGACTGTACTTGGAGACAGGGTCTTTAAAGAGGTAATTAAGATTAAATGAGCTCATTGCTGTGGGCTCTGATCCAATATGACTGGTATCCTAATAGGAAGAGGAAATCAGGCCATTAAGACACAGAGAAAGGGAGGACCATGTGAGGGCACGGTGAGAAGACTGTCATTTAAAGCCAAGGAGAGAGCCCTCAGAAGAAACCAACCCCGCCCAAACATTGATCTCAGGTCTCTAACCTCCAAACTTGTGAGATAATAAATTTCTGCTGTTTAAGCCACTGAGCATCTGGTAATTCGTTATGGCAGCTCTAGCTAACTAATACAGGAGGCTATCTTTATCAGCACTCTAGAAGTTGCTCTAAAGATTTCTCTACTATGCAAATAGCCAGAATTAATCCACTAAGACCTTGTTTCCATTATAGTCAACTCTTTTATAAAAGCAGCAAATCAATATCTTATATTTTGTTCATTGCATCAACTAATTAGGTGAATACAACTAACATTTTTCAAGTCCTTGCTATACACAAGACACTGCAATAAGCTGTTTAGGTCTGTTATCTCATTTAATATTCACAAGAGATATTGTTGTTTCTTAAAAACAAAACAAAACAAACGAAAAACAAAAAAACACAAATAAAATAATGAAGTCTCAAAGCAGTTAAATAACTTGCCCAAGCATAGATACTTTGTGGAATTTATATCCGGGTCTATGGGGCTCACAGGTTCATGCCATTCCCCCCAAATTTTCCACAATGTTTTCCAGACAGCTGCATCTTTGTGCTGAAAGTGGTAAGGAGTCCAAAGGCAATATGAAGATTAAGAGGAGCCCTATTCAGTGCCCTTCGAGGTGGCAAGTTATTTCTAGGAAGGGGTTACAGAGTCGTCACAGGAGAAGGAAAAGAAAAATATGCTACTTTTTTATGTACACATAGGAAACAAAAATCTAGCTGCCTATTGAGAGGGTATGCACATCATTTCCCCTCCCTTGGTAATGCGGCTGCTGCTGGTGCTTCGGGAGTGCGATAAACAAGTTGTAATGTATTAGCGCAAGTAGTTGCAGCAGCATGCTTCTAGAGCTGGCAGAATTGCTGAGAAACGGCTTTTATGGCACCAATCTCCTTGGAGACCTTAAATAACAGCCTAAAATGTATGGCACAGAGATCACGGGGTTTATTACTTTAGTTTCAGCTGGTGTTCTACAATTTATAGTTTTCCTGATAAATTGGGATCCATTCAGCTGGTACATATTATGTAGGATGGTGGAATTGTCTCTTCTGCATTGAAGGATCAGAAATGGGCAGATGCCTTGATTGGGTAATAACAGCGCCAGCCCAAGTCGTGTGTGTCAGTTGAATATTTGGGCTCATTTTAAAGAGGAATGGGTTCCCACAGTAGAACTGCACCCCTTTCTCCACCTCCCAGATACCTTCTAGTCTCAGAGGACCTAGGCATTGAAGTTAGTTATCTCATGCTTTCATCAGGACCTGGCTAAGGGTAAAAAAATGCCACATGTCATGGTCCCTTTTCGGGGGTGGGTGGGTGTGCGGAGTCCTTGCTGAAATATGCAAATTAAAATCCCACTTCAGAATCCAGCAATGAAGGAATGACTTTTTATATAGAACCTAGAAGCATATTGTTTCCTATTTTCCATGAATTAATTTACAGTGAAATCCGCTTTAGTGGCTGTGGCTATGGCTGCTTCTGTATACTTAATTAATCTGATCTTGTTCAAAATCAGATTTTACAGGCCATGAACAAAGAGCATTTGAAAGAAAGCTGTGAGTTTGTGCTCCTGATTTTCACCCAATTAATCGGAGTCTGTCAGCTTTAAAAAAAAATTTTGTAAGAAAGAAAAGGGACAGCAATTGCATCTTGATATTGTTGTCCTTATTGCTGTTGTTCCATTAAAAAAAATCAAGCTATGATGCAGGAACAGTAACTTTCTCTCAGCTGAAAATCTTGTATAGATTTTAGCATTTGGACTTTGGAGCCCTTCCAGGTCTTGTCTGGCTATTATTCTGCGAAGGGTGAAGGATTTACACAAAGGGCCTCAACTCTGAAGTGTCATTAAGTTCTATTGGGTCAGTAATTTCTGAAAAATGAATTAAAACAACAAAGTTCAATAATTTTATAGACATTGTTAGCCTGTATCTTTGGAGAGGAAAAAAAAGGAAAAGAAAATAAATGGGCCTGGGTGTGAGGAATCGGAAAAATGGTTAGGAGAGAAGAACTCTGCCCCAATAGATATTCCTTTGAGCTCACAAGCCACCCAATTTTCTGTGGTGAGAAACACTTTCCAATGTGTAATTGCACACTATGGCTTACTCCTAGGTAGCTAACTTTCTTTCTAATGGGTCTCCCTGAGATAAAGAAATACCCTCTTGATGTCACTGGATTCCCTATAAAGAAGATGGGGCAGATGATCAAACGGTCATCCAGTTGCTGGAACTCATGCCTCAGTAACATCAACCGCTGCTGTAGACCCATTGAGAGCTGGTTCAGTTAAAGGCTCATGTCTAGTCAAATACAAGGTCATGAGCAGCCTCACAGGGGGCTGTATCAAAGACCAAGCTAACTATTCTTGCTAAATGAAAAGACAACCGAGGATGTTTGCTGTTTTACAACCTATGGCAAGATTCTCAATGGTCTTGTCTCCTGAGAAAGATGCATTCTGGAAATTAGGAAATTAGTCCTCTGAATGCAAAGGTTCCAAGTACAGTGACCATTCAAACAGAGATGGAGGAAAGGGTGAGTGGGGAAGGCAGGAGCAGACAGATGCAGTGATTGACCCAAGGGGGCTGTCTTAAGTGCCAGGCAGGAAGCATTTCTCCTGGATCTCACTTACCCCACGAGGTAAGAATTGCTACTATTATTCCAATTTTACCCATGAAGAAACTGATGCTCAGACTAAATAAATGACTCATTCCAAGGTCCACAAGCACTAAGTGATGGAAGCAGAGTTTGAAATCCGGGAATCTTTCTCTGCAGTGCCCCTTTTATGCATTAGAGTATAGCCCTTGGTGGAGAAACCTGAGTTGACTAAGCTCACCAACCAACCTGAGACAGAAATTTAGGAGCACATTTCATTCATCATTAGGAACTGCCTGTAGAGTCCACATAATTAAAGACGAATTCACACATCAAGACCTACTGATGTATCTACACACAGGAAGAGACCCACTTGGAGCTCAAGCATCTTACGGCCGACAGCTAGATGATTGACTATGGCCATTTAAACTTTGCTGCGGGACCATCAAAAGTGGAGCTGCTTCTTTAAAAACCTCCTCTGTTATATTTTTAATAACCTTCCCTCATCTTCTGGTCCTGACTCCCAGTTATCCCTCAATGGCTAATCCCTTTCTCTTGTCACTGGCTCCTCGCACTCTGAACACTTTCAATTACTAGGTTGTTAACTGAAAAAAACACAACCTCACAGACCCTTTGGGATAAGCCAAGAAAAATGGCAATCATCTCTGTAAGCAAGAGATGACCTTACCTTAAAAGAGAACCGATCAAAAGCATGCAGACCTCATACCCTGATTACTTCTCAGAAGAGAGCCAGTCATCCATTGGAGTGAGGCTATTCTTTTTCTCTTTCTTTCTTTCAAATAAAACTTCCAGCAGCCATGCTTCTAAAGACAGTTAAGCACAGGCAGAAACCTATTAAAATTACAAGCAACTACTTGAAGGACTGAGGGTCCTTCCAGCTCTCACAATGATGTAAAGTAGCCACTTCCTGAAGAAGAAACACTAAGGGCCCTTCTGTGACCACAGGAAGAGAACATGCAACCCAATGTCATTAGCAGTTGTGTCTGGCCTTCCATTCCAAAGCCATGCCTGCCTGTCCATGGAGAAACTGGGGGAGAAGATTATACATCAAGGCCTTTGTTGTTGACAGCTCTCTCAGAGTCAAGTTTCTCCCATACCCATCTTCCTAGTGAGGAATTAGATGGAGAGAGAGTTGAAGGAAATGTTGAGAAGCCCATTCACCTCTTCATCATGTTGGGATGGGAGAGAGGACCAGAGTCTTATCCACCAGAAGTCTTCCCCGCTTGACATTCTTCCATCAGTTGCTCCGACACTTTCTTGGGGTTTCTTTGAAGAGGGTGTATTAGTCTGTTCTCTCACTGCTACCAAGAAATATCTGTCACTGGGTAATTTATACAGAAAAGAGGTTTCATTGGCTCACAGTTCCACAGGCTGCACAGGAAGCATGATGTTGGCCATCTGCTTCGCTTCTGAGGAGGCCTCAGGAAACTTCTGCCACAATTGTGGCAGAAGGTGAAGTGGAAGCAGGCTTGTCTTACATGGCTGGAGCGGGAGGAAGGGAGAGGTTCTACATACTTTTAAACAACCAGATTTCAGGAGAACTCGCTCACTATCCAGTACCAAGGTGAATGGTACTAAACCATTCATGAGACTCTGCCTCCATGACCCAGTCACCTCCCACCAGGCCCCACCTCCAATACTAGGGATTACATATCCAAACCGTATCAGGGGCTATGTGGGATGACCCTCCTAGCCTCTAAAGACAACTCTGGTATGGATTCCGATTATTTCAAAACTCCTTCAGCCAAGCTGTATATCGAGTACCCGTGATATACAAGGCAATGGTAGGAGGGATCAAAAACACCTAAGACCCAATCCCTGCCATAGCAAGGAGTGCTCAGACAACTTGGGAGGAGAGATCAACAGACAAAGTATTATACTAAATAAGGGCCATGACAGAGCCAGATGTGATTTCACAGGCACAGGTGGGGGTTTGGGGAATTAGCAAATCAGATTGGGGTTAAGAACTAGAAACTGAAGGTGAGGACTAAGCTGAGTCCTAAAAGACAAATAGGGAGTTTGAAAAGAAAAAGGGGGTGCCATGGACAGATGGTTCAATTACTGTTCTTAACTTAGACATAACATTATTCTCTAAGAGAGAAACTAATGAAAGTCAGTATATCATGAGGATGTCCCCATAAGAGCAGTGATCTTGCCCCTCATGTTAACGATTTTACTCTAGCACCTAAGAATGAGTGCAGAGAATAACAAAGATGTGAAGTCAACCCAAATGGCCATCAATGATAGACTGGATTAAAAAAATGTGGTACATATACACCATGGAATACTATGCGCCATAAAAAGGAAAAAGATCATGTCCTTTTCAGGGACATGGATGGAGCTGGAAGCCACTAATCTCAGCAAAATAAGGCAAGAACAGAAAACCAAGCACCACATGTTCTCACTTATAAGTGGGAGCTGAACGACGAGAACACATTGACACATAGGGAAGAACAACACACAATGGGGCCTGATGGTGGGGATGAGGGGAGGGGGAGCATCAGGAAGAATAGCTAATGGACGCTGGGCTCAATACCTAGGTGATGGGAATCACCATGGCATATGTTTACCTATGTAACAAACTTGGACATCCTACACATGTGCCCCAGAACTTAAAAGTTGAAGAGAAAAAAATGGGCACAGAAAAGGTGCCCCACAAATATTTTCTCTGAACATGCCAAGCACACTTGGCCTCAGGACATTTGCATTCATTCAATATTCCCACTCCCATCTGCATGGCTCACTCTCTCTCTTCCTTACCATTATTCTAAATGTCTTTTCTCTACTTGAGATTTTCTCATAGCACCTACCCACTGATATAGCACATGGTTGGTTGTTTATTGTCTGTCCCTCCCACTGGAATATAAGCTCCGTAAGAGTAGGAACTTTATCATTTTTGCTCAGTCGATATCTTCAGCAACTATTAAGTGCCTGGCACATAGCAAGCACTCAATAAATACTTGTTGAACAAGGGAATGCAGTTGACTACTCCCTTAAAGCCATTCTAATTCCTCCAATTCTCTGTTCATTAAATGACTATAGTTCCTCATTCAGTTCCTCCTGAATGCCAGGAAGAGAATGCTCTGAAAAGTGCTGTGGCCTTTTTCACTTTCACATGAAGGCCCAGGCAGTTTTATATACGTTCTAACAAACATGGAAGGGTTTCTCATTGTCAATAAGGTCAGGTCCAAATCTGTTGGAATGTCGTACTATGCCCTCCATGATTGGGCTTCTGTTTTGTCTTCCAGCCTCACTTCCTCCACTTTCTACCTTCTACTTTAGACTTTGATGCACTGAGCCACTGGCTCCAGCAAATGGCTTCATTCACTCACTCAACACTGAATGGGATGACCTATGAGCCCAACACAGTAGTTCCTGCAACTTGCATGTATTGTTTTCTCTTCCTCACCAGCCTTCCCCTGGCTTTACCAAGGTAACACATACTCATTCTTTAATGTGCAGATTATCAGAGCTGGGATTCAGTTATAGAGGACCAAACCACAGGAAGATCAGAGAAGAGAACAAGGCAGGCTTATCTCTGGGTTACCCAGGAGCTTTCAGATCATGAAGCCTATCCACAAATGAGGCAGAGGAGACCAAAGACAGCTACCTTCTTTATTTGATATGGTCACCTGATGTTAGCTTTTGGCCTGCATTGTTCTTCGTATTTGTCACTATCAATGTTTGAAGTAGCAAATTTGTAAAAATGGCCAGGATCATGCAGATCTGGTGTGCGGAGGTATGGTCCCAATGTCTGTGCTGGAGGGGATCTTGTGACCCTCAATCACACCTCTTATGTTCCAAGTCACTTATTGTGATGCTTAAGGCTAAAAGTCCAAGTATTTTCAGCTCAAGAAGTTAGAAGATGAGCTCCCTAGATGCCTGGGCATCCCCAGGTCACCAGGTTCTTTGAAGTGATGGTGGTATTTACGGTAGCTGGTTCACTACAAGAAGAGAGGTGATGGACACATGAATGGGAAGAGCAAGTTTCTGAAGCTGGTGGCCACTATCAAAGCTGGCTTGGCTCAAGGCCAACATGGCCTGAAGGCAAAGTCCAGTGACCTTGGCTCAGCTGTCTCGGCAGAAAGAAGTGAAATGCCTCCTGGACACCTGGTCTTTCATTGATATTCCTGCAGCCCCTGGGGCATGGGCACAGATAGATGCCCCTGGTCTTTGCCCCTGTGAGGGTGTGTGTGTGTGTGTGTGTGCACGTGTACATATCTCAGGAATCTGGCTTTGCACACTAGCTCAGCTTCCTTCCTATTCCCTACCCTTCACCATCTCTCCCTGCAGTCTCTCATGTCTCCCTGTCTACCCACTGGAGTTTGGGACAGGTCCTGCCTGCTTCAGGCTTCCTTCTCAAGGGGGAGCCAAGAAAGGGAGCAGGCTATGTGGGTGAGTGACTGTCTTGGTGTGCCATAACATTTGAAATGGTTCTCAATTCAATAAACATTGGATGAGTTGAACAAATAATGATGTTACCAATAATAATGGGTCATAGTGATTTAACTCAGTCTATACATTTTACCCAAAACAGCGAATAGATGGGCATTTTATAAAAATTTGATTTATATTAAATAACAGCAAAACATCATTTTTATTCATGAGATGGATGAAATGCATGAAATTGAGATGACATCAAGCATTGCCAAGGATATGCAGAAGTGAGTCCTCTTTTACACGCTGCTGGAAGTGCTGGAATTTCTTTGGAGGGCACATGGTTCAGCAGTTCTGCCCCTTGGCATCTGTCCTAGAGAGATACACACAGGTGCCCAAGGAGGCACTTACAAGGGTGCTTGTATTGTTTGTCATAGCAGAACATTGGAAATGATCTAAATATCCACCAATACAGAAATAGCTACATAAATTCTATCATACCCATATTATGGAGTGTCACACAGTCATTGAAAAGCATGAAATGTATCTATTTGTACCATATGAATAGATTGCCCGTGTAAACTCCATGAACTCAGGTGGTTTGGTTTTCTTTCTCTTGGTTGTCCAATGTATTCTCTGTAATTTGGAACAGTACCTAGCACCTAGTAGCCACCCAATAAATTATGTGTTCAATAAATGGAAGATGAGTAAAATGCATGTCACACATAACAGAATGATACTTTTATGTGTGATAATTGTTATTTAAAACAGAAAAAATAGTTTCTATTTTCTACAAATACATATATGTGTGTTAAGGCTTAAGAAAATATCTGGAAGGATGTAAACAAATATAATTCGCTGGGAGCAGGTAGGGAGGGCAATAGGGACTTTAGCCTTAACAATAATGTTTTAATTCTCATGAGGAGAATATTCACATATTACTTGACTAATAAAAAATTAAAGTTTTTTAAAATTCATGATTAAAACTATGGTGCTTGTTTTTGAGGGGAGAAAAACAATTAGATCAGTGCTTTTTAATTTTTTCCTTCTCTAGAAATGGAATGAGTTTCAAGACTTGAAGATAGAACCCAGTTTGCAGGTGCAGGAAAATTGGGGTGTGTGAGAGTAGGAGCCAGGCAGGCCATTGCAGGGCTAGAGTGGTGTTCATGGAAATAGGGATGAGGAAATGGGTCCCAGAAATTTTACCTAGGAAAAAGAGAATGGCAGAACTTGCAAAGGGATAAAGAAGAGAGAGACATTATAAAAGACTCCAAAGCAAGGATGACTAACATTATTGAGTTACCAGCAGAGGGACTGTTTGGGAGAAAGAGCTTGCTTTGAAGGGAAACAGTTAGTTTGGTTTGGGAAATTTGGGCTTGTAGTGACTATGGCATGTCCAATTAAAATCCCTGGTAGGCAAGGGATATTGTAGAAATAGAGATTATGGGTGATGCTGATTTGGAAGTTATTTGCATAGAGAGGGTAGTGGGTAATGGAGCAATCTAATTTGAATGAGCTCTCCATTGGAGATCATATAAGGACTAAAGGAGAAGGAGCAGCTCTCTAGTCTACAACCACCCCCAGTTAGGGTAATGCCCAGGTATGGTACTTCTCTGTCAGTACCCCTGCGTGTCACTCAAAAGGTTGTCAACAACTGAACCTGGACCAACGTGAGTAACGGGAAGTATCTATTACCAAGTTCATTAACAAGAGTCCTGTTTATTTCTCAGTCGTCAATTGCAATCAATTGCCTGGACAAAGATGCCCTTAATTGATAAGTCATTCTTGCCCATAAGAGTTAAAACTTGTGTGAAATACACCAATCTCATAATTCCTGGGAGGGTACCCTTCCCTTTATGTACTATAAGACTAGTTATTGTACTGTGCCACAAGGGATGATCATCCACAGAGGAACACTAAATCACTACATCTGTGACATAATTTCAGGATAAGGAGTCCTCAAAAGTAGTATTGCATTGATGCCCAAAACTCTACTGAAAGGCTAGATCCCTTCTGTTTAACATCTGGTTCTCAATTAAAGTGCACGTAACCCCCATGGTGATGACACCATGGAAAGTACTCTAACACTGGAATCAACCCAACTGAGAATCAAATCCCAATTTTACCACTCAGCTCTTTGAACTTGCCTCTCTAAGCCTCTATTTGGACAGCTGTAAAATGGGGTGATAATGTGTGTCTCAGAGTTGTTATATGAAATAAAGGAAATGATATATGTGGACCACATGACACGTGATAGCCCCAAAATAAATATCTATCCCCCTTTTGCTTGTCTACTTTCTGAGGAGACAAAAGGAGACAATTCCTGAATGACAGGGATGAGAAAGGCATACCTGGCCTGTCACATGGATTTGGTTCATCGTAGAACTACACACTACTCTAAATGATGAGTTTGCTGATAACTAAACTGTGATGAGATAGGTCTGTGATCAACTGGATTTTGAACCTAACCAAAGTTTATCTCATGTAAAAAAAATTCAACCTGCACACACTAAGAAAGGAATACATAAAATGAGCAAATGACATAACTCTTGTTTCCGGAATCCCAGGTAAGAGAAGTGGATAAAAGTGGAAGATTCTTTCCTTTAAAAGGACAGTCCCAAAGCACTCACCATTTCACATGTAAATGCCAACCCACTTAGCTTCTCCTGTTGCTCTCCATGACAGAGCCAGTCATGGCATGTGCTAGAAGTAAAAGGGATATAGGAAGACAAGAGGAGAGGCAAGAACAGTGATCAGAGTGGAGCCAAGATCCCAGGGCCTGCTGTCTTACTCCACCTGCATGGAGCCAGAGCACCTGGCTGCATGGGAGAACAGTTCGGCCATCAGTATGTTCCATCCTTATGGTGCCTGCGGCTGGGGTAACTCCTGAACTTTTCATGCTGTGTTTGCATGCTTGGCTGTCAAATGGACCTAATCATTCCAGAGGGTTGGAAACAAATTAATGGCAGGAAAGAAAAGAATTGCCTCTTCATGCACCTTTCCCAATAACCACCAGCCAGAAGATAAAACAAACATTACCATCACCATGTGCACTATTTCAGAACCATTTTAACCAATCCTCCCAGCCTTCCTTAAATTTCATTAAATTATGAATATATTTAGCCAAATATATGGTGAAATTTAAGTAAATTTTGATAACATAAAGATTAGGAAAACAGGTTTGTGAGCAGCCTAAATTCCACAGTCCAATCCTCACTGTGCTATTTATTAGCTGTGTAACTTTAGGCACGTCCCCATTTTTTCTGTGCCCCAGTTTCCTCACCTGTAAAATGGTAAATGGATAATATTACTGGCTACTTTATTATTAGCACCTATTTCATAGGTTAATTTAGAGGACTAAATAAGTGAACAGACACAAAGCTCTTAGAATAGGTTCTACTAAAGCAAAAGCATATATTGGGCATACAGTTAGAGCTCAGTAATATTAGCTATTATTATTATTGGTGTTGTTATTAACAACAGTTTAATATCATAAGAATGTGAGGCATCATAAGAAACCGTCTAACTCCTGCACTCTGAGTATTTTTTTCAGCTCTATTTCATCAATTACTCCATGACTCTGTTAATTCTATCATTTAACCCATTTTTAGGATGTTTTTGAGTATGTGTATATATATTATTTACATATGGCTTTTAGCAACCCTGATAAAGCATGGCACAGTGACCACATGTCCTAGATTTTCTTGGATAACCCAATTTTATTCTTTTTGCATTAAAAAACTTGATTTGTTAAATGCATACCTAAATTGGATTTAACTTTATATCACTACAAGATTTCCAAATACATAATTTTACAAATCAAGCATAAATCTTTGCTCCTGACTTTACATCCAAAAATGATTATAACCAGTATATGTAATTTTAAAAGAATAGCTTCTAATAATTCCCATGTTGGTAACAACACATGTAAGAATTACAAATAAAATGTGTTGAGGACTTTTGACCTAGAGATTCACTTTGTCGCTAAGGAAAATTGTTTGCACCTTGGTCAGCATAGTGCTTTACACAGGGAGTAAGCAATTAGAGTAAAACCTTTCTGATTCACCCTAATGACCACAAGACCCAAAGAACACATGATCTACTGACTTTTGCTTATTAGTAAGGATGTGAAAAGATGAGATTAAAAACTGAACAGGCTAGTTTATACATATGTTTTTTAAATGAGAGATAACATTATGTGTTTTTATCACATGCAACATGATGTTTTTAAGTATATATACATTGGGGAATAATTCAATCCAGCTAATTAACAAATGCATTACCTCACATAGTATTCCACTGTGTAGATGTGTATATATTTTCTTTATCAATTTATTTATTGATAGACACTTCTTAGGTTGGTTCCATATCTTGGCTATTGTGAATAGGGCTGCAATAAACATCATGAGCAACAAAAACAAAAATGTAGAATTACATCAAACTAAAAAGCTTCTGCACGGCAAGAGAAACAATAAAGAGACAACCTACTGAATGGGAGAAAATATTTGCAAACTATACATCTGATAAAGGGTTAATATCCAAAATACATACAGAACTCAAACAACTCAGTAACAAAAAAATAATAATAAACTGATATGAAAATAGGCAAAAGATTTGAATAGACATTCTCAAAAGAAGACATACAAATGGCCGACAGATATATTTAAAAAAAAATTAACATCGCTAATCATCAAGGAAATGCAAATCAAAACCACAATGAGGTATCACCTCACCCCAGTTGGAAAGGCTATTATCAAAAAGACAAAAAGATAACAAGTGCTGGCAAAGATGTGGAAAAAAGGAAACCCATCTGTACAGTTGATGGACATGTAAACTAGTACAGCCATTATAGAAAACAGTGTGGAGGTGCTTCAAAAATTAAAAATAGAACTACCATATGATCCAGGAATCCCACTACAAGGTATATATCCAAAGGAAATGAAATCAGCATGTTGAAGAGATAACTGCAAACAGGCTATTTTATATGTTAGAAATACATCTCAGTGTTATTTGCACTTGTTTATTTTCCAATTTAGGATATTTATACTAAAGACACTCAGGAATCCAAAACTTCTTTAAAACAAAGTAAATTTTGTCATCCTTGCTATTAATTAGTGGGGTGGGGAGACAGTTCTCAAAAGAAGATTAAATTGGCTATGGCTCAACAGAAAAATACTAGAAGAAACTACTCCTTAGGTTTTGAATGAGAAGGCTTAGACTCTCTGTTCCTGGCTCTGCCATGGACGAGTTGTATGGCATATGGCTTTGGGCAAATCATACATTCACTTAGCTTTATGATTGGAGCGAAATACCACTAGACCCTCTTTTAGAGTTTAGCAGCCTATAAATTATATGACTACTCAGTTTTGTTTTATTTAAAAAAAAAAAAAAGCTTGTTACTCAGTGCAGATGTTTCAAAAGGATCCTTCTTTTGACAGTTTACCTTTGTCTTCAAGATTCAATGGGGGCTGCTTAACTGCTGTATCTTGTTTAAATTGTACCCCTATCTTTAAATCCTATCTGGACAGGGCAAAAGAGACCGTGGCCCCTGTCAACCCATAGAAATTCTCACTGCCACCCATGGACATGAAATCTGTCATAGTAGACCCATGACTTTGTAGTCCATTCAATACAACTAATGTATAAATAACTCCAACTTGGAAATCTCCAGTGGGGCTGCAAAGGTCATCTTGCTCTCAGAAATTAAGTCTCCTGGAGAAGAAAAATAGATAGGTTTATAAATACTTCTACCTCAAAGGACTTTATATGAAATTCTACTGGAGAGGTACAATGTACTCCGGGAGTTTGAAAAAGACAATAATTCTGGAAGACTCAGGGAAAACCCCATGGAGAAGTTGGGATTTTGGCTAGTTCCCAAACTGGGTTGGATTTAGACCAGTTAAAATGGCAATCCTTCAGGAGGAAAGATTGTTATTATAAAGGAATAGATTCAGAAGAGGAACATATAGTGGGTTGAATTGTGTCCCCCCAGAAAATATGTCCAAGTCCTAACCTCTGGTATCTGTAAATGTGACCTTCAGAAATAAGATCTTTACAGATGCAATTAAGTTAAGGACCTCAAAATAAGATCATCCTGGGTTTTGGGTGGGCCCTAAATCCTAAGAAAATATTCTCAGACAGAAAAGGAGAAGGCACACAGAGACACAGAGAAGAAGAAGGCCATGTGGAGACTGGAGTGCTGCTGCCATAAGCCATGGAACACAAGGACCCACCAGAAGCTGGAAGAGGCAAGCAAGGTTTCTCCACTAGAGCCTTCTGAGGGAGTGCAGTCCTGTCAACAGCTGGATTTTGGACTTATAGCCTCCAGAATTGTGAGAGAGTATGATTCTGTCGTTCTATGCCATCAGTTTGTGGTCATTTGTGGCAGCCATTTTGGGGAACTAATACTGGAGGTGTTTCCAGGAATGAAAAATGAGGGGCCCACCTGGTTCTCTCTTGAATGTGGTTAATTAAAGGAATGGAGACTGTGGGGAGAAGGGCAAGAGAATAATGAAGGGATAGGACTTCAAAGACAGCTACAAATGGTGTAGCAAGTTCTTTGAATAGGAATAGAGACACACAAAGGCATTTGAGGCATAGTGAGAATATCAAGACTGGGTGACTCAAGTTGTGTGTAAGACAGATGTATAGGGGAAGAGACTAGAGAGAGGAAACTTTGAGAAAGTTCAAAGAAAAGTAACAAGGGATTAAATCAAAGCAATAGCCACAGTGTTGAGACTTGGCAGATGTTGGGCTGATGATTTCGTGATTAGCTCGATGGGTTAGGGAGTGAGTTAGAGAAGTCCAAGTGATTCTTATGGAAGCTCCAGTCATAAGGGTTTAGACAAAGGAAAAGAAAACAGTTAATGAGAAAAAGAATTAATCAGAGAAGAAGAAAGAGAACCAGTGGAATACCAAAAGAGGCTAGAGATTCGAGTAGGAGGCAGCATCTAATGATACAGACAGATAATACGAGCTTAATATAGAAAGCCTGGTGATTAAGTGGTTTCTGGTGATTTGGAGCCCACTAGCCATGGAATAGCAGAAATGAAATACAAATTATAAGGGTGTAAAAAAAGAAATAAACATACCAAGTTTAGTGTACCCATTTATTTTTGGTAGAATGGAATAATGTGTGAGATGTAACTTAATTAATTAGAGTGGGGTGGGGAGGTAGTTCTCAAAAGCAGATTAAACTGGCTATGCCTCCACAGAAAAATACTAGAAGAAACTACTCTTTAGGTTTTAAATAAGAAGGCTTAGACTCTCCATTCCTGGCTCTGCCACGGACCAGTTGTATGGCTTAGTAGTGTCAAGAAAAGGTCCTTTAGACCTTAATCAGGCTTCAGCATGTTAACATGCTATCTCCAGTGAGCCCCTGCTAACCTGAAAATGGCATAGGAAACATTAATTCAATAGCAAAGATACATTTGCCAGATGAGCTAATTGTCACTCAAAAAGAACTGTCATTCAAGGAGGATACCTGAGAAACTGGAATATTGCATGAACCTGTGCTTACACAGAAAGAGATCAGGACAAGACCAGCATTTGCTTTAGTAGGGTGTGCAGCAGATGGTCCTAGAGAGCTGGAGCGGGGGAGGGAGGTAGCATAAAACCGTGGGAAAACCAGAGATGGGAAGCAGGGATGGAGCAGGGTGAAACAAATGCATCAAATGACAACTTTGCCTACTTTGCTGTTCTGCCTAGGGACAGCCTTTGGCTTGCAGGTCCTGCAGTCACTCAGTGATTTGTTCTGGCAATTATCTAGCAAGTATCCCCCAAAGAGAATTCAAGGAATGGGTAATAATCTGAAAGTACACACTGCCTCTGATTTCTAGGCCTTTTTCACATCCTCAAGAGTATTTTTCAAGACTTTTCGAGAAAGTACAAGACAATTGCTGCCAATCTGAGAAGATCTTGCCAAAGATCCTCCTGGAGCATCAGAAACAGAGAATTTCTAAGTGGAAGAGACCAGAGGTCACCCAGCCCTGCTCTCTGCATAGTGCCGCATAGTGTTGATCATTAGCCAATATGCATTCCATAGAAAAAGTCCTCAGCTCCTCATTTTCTCCTGCTGTTAACCATCCCAAATATGGAGGACCCATAATGTACAATTTCCTGATAGCAGAGAATATTCAGAAACAGCATTCTCACTTACAGAGAAACGTAAACAAGGTTAGAAAATCCAGATACCTGAAAGAAACTCCAGCCTCTTTTCTTCCTATCCCAGGGACTCTGCCTAAACCCTCAAAGACTGGTCAGAACTTACCATAGCTTTAAAATATTTTCTTCAAAATTCCACAGTCATTTTTAGTAGCTGAGGATGATGTAGAGGAGGTATGAAAAATAGAAGGTTTCAATTTTGTAGAATATTAGGCAATTCATAATAATAGTTGGCTTCGTTATTGTACACTTTGAATGGAGAGCATAACTTGAATGACCACCTGTGAACTCTGGGCTTTCAAGGGTTCTGGGAGCTGCCTCAATTTCCTGGGAGCCTCAGTGAAGACGACATTAGGGTAGACAGTGAAAATCCTGTGGCTATGATGTGAGGATGTGAACAAAGAAGGGGAACAAATACTCATCCCAACCTCAGAAGTCATTCATTCAACACATATTTACTGACTTCCTTCCAGATTGGGCTAGAAAGGCAAGGAACTCATTATGGGTTAGGAAGAAACTAGATGATCCAACTCTTATCATAGTCATGAATTGTTTTTAATGTGACACTGCACAGTGTTCCTCAAAAGTAGAAATAATTGTTCTCGAGTTTCAGAATTGGTGAAGTATGAGAGCAATGGCACAGGCTATGGAACAGATGGTAGCAATGGCCCATCTCTGCCACAATTATGAATTGCTTGGAGTGCCTGGAGATGAGGGATGGTCCAGCTTCCCTTAGCAGTAGGAGCCTTCATTGGAAGAGCAGGGCCTGGAACTTACTTGATAGGGAGTGGATTCGACACGCTGTCAATGAAAACTCTGGTTGACTGGTTGTCTGGTTGTCCAAAGCCTGGGTTCTGCATGGGTTGTCTGATGGATAGCTCTTGTTTTTCCTGTACAGTATTGCTTCTCCCTATTTTGCTAACAGAACCCTTATTTCCTCTAGGAAAGCCATTTCATGCAACTCAGGTGAGGCTAACCCTGCCATAGGTTTAACCTTTCAAAATACTCATCTTCCTGGTTCCTGTGACCGGATATGATTCCTGTGGACAGAATCCTCAATGGACTTTTCTAGCAGAGCTCTTTTTGGCTAGGGGAAAGAGCTTATCCATGAGGTAAAGAGAAATATGGAACCATGAAGACATTGTTGAAACACCTGGATCCAGCCTTACCTGAAGGTAAGGTCTATCTCTGGATGTTTTCATTACTTGAAGCTTGGCTGCTTGGAATTGGGTTTCTGTTACTTGCAACTGCGCAAATCCTATCTAACACAAAAGAGAGTATGTTCCAGGTATTCTCCTAAACCAGCCTTGAAGAAAAATAATTAAGAAGCAGGAGGAAACCGAGGTCATAGAGTCCCATTTCCAAGCCAGCAAACTAGTGAGCTTTTTGAAAGAAACTCTGTTTGATGCACAACCTTAAACTGCTCCACTACTGGCAGCTCTACTCAGTATCAAGCTCTTATTTATTTTATAATATTAATGGTATTTATTAGATTTTTTAATGACATATGTTACATATTTTCATCATAGAAATTTTTTTAAAACATATGTTCACACCACCCAGAGGGAAACAGCACTAAACACTTTGACATACTTTCAGCCTTTTTCATAGAAAGATAGATAGATAGATAGATAGATAGATAGATAGATAGATAGATAGATAGACAGACAGACAGACAGACAAACAGATAGATATAGATATATCCCTTTTTCAATTACTGTTTCCCCAACCTTTTAATTATTTGTAACATGAACATTTTCCCAGGTCAACCAATATTTCTGTGCAGCACAATTTTAATGAAGGATGATATTCTATTTAACAGTGGTCCATAATTTTTTTATCCAGAACCCTACTGACAAAATTTTAGGTTGTTTCTAATTTTGTGCTGGTATACATAACATCATAAGCATTCAACATTTTTACAACAAAGCTTCATCCTTAAGACAAATTCCAGGAAGCATAATTGCTTGTCAAAGGGTATGAGGTTTTCAAGTTTTTGATAAATGGCAATTAGACTTTTTAAAGACACCCAAAGAAGTTCTCTCTTTGTCCTTTTTGCACCAGTGGGAAGGAAGATTCACTACTATGTGACATTTCTAACACAGATGTTTTGGAGTATGTATCGGTTTCCTAGTGCTGTAGTAACAAATGTGCCACAAATCTGGCAGTTTGCAGCACCCATTCGCTATCTCACGGTTCTCTAGGTCGGAAGTCCAGAGGGCTTGGCTGGGTACTCTGCTTAGGATCTCACGAGGCCAAAATCAAAGTGGTTGACCTGGCTCTTATCACCCATGGAAGCTATGGTGGGAATTCCAGGCTCATTCCAGGCTCATTTGGGTTGTTGAAATAATTCATTTTCTTCTCATAGTTTCCACATGACCACTTCTATCTTCAAGCCATCAACTGTGAGTTGAGTCCTTCTCACCTAGAATGTCTCTGACATCTCTCTCTGCCACATAACTCTGACTCTAGTCAAAAAAAGTTCTCTGCTTTTAAGGGCTCATGTGATTAAATTGGCCCCACATAGATAATCCAGAACAATCTGCCTATTTTAATGTCTATAACCTTAATTCCATCTGTAAAGTCCCTTTAGCCATGTAATATAATATATTCACTGGTGTCAGGGATCAGTGTGGACACTTTTAGGGTAACCATCCTGCCTGCCAAAGGGTAGAACCATGAAACTGCATTAAATAACTCTACGATGCACAGTCACCTGACTAACCATCTTTCATCCCAAGGCAATGTTTGGAGGGACGAGTTCAGTCTTTTCAAAGTGGTGTGGGGAATTGTTCTTTTCACACCTACTGCTCAAACCCAAGCAAGTTCCCAACTGGACAAAAGGATTGTCTTGCGAAACTTTCTATTATCTCTTGTTGCTAGGAAACAGTGCTTCTGGGTTCCTCAGGGGCAGGCTTCCCTTCAGATTTATATTCAGTGCTGTACCATTGTAATAAACTACATTTTGTCATATGCTCAGGCTGTTACCAGTCAAAAAGAATGCAAAAATTCAAGTGATTTTACATACAAATATAAGTCTATGCATAACTGTGTCCCACACATGTGTACAGGTGTCTATATACATGTAAATAGTTTTGTGACTAAGTTGTGTTTTTTTTCTCCCTTGAATATAACTCATTTATTTCTTATTAGTTTTCTGCAAAGGTTTTCTTCTTTATGGCTAATTTCAAAGGAAATAGTGTGAGAGTTTTCAGCAAAAGCAGTTTCCATGGTTACACTGAAGTCTTACTAAAAATAGTACATGATGTAATCAGCAAAACTTTAGCTACTTAAGGAACTAGACAAAATGGATCTACATTACTGTATGAAGTTTGTTCTGTCCTTCAAGCTGTGTCTATGACACATGAAGAGAATACTCTGAATTATTTTTATTGCCCTGAGATTCCAGCTCCTTAAACACTTTCGTAGGCAGCTCACAAGCTGTTCAGTCTCTGGAATTATTTCTAACACTGTGTAAAGGAAAGGCAGACAGAGACAGGGAAGAGGAGGGATGAAGATGAGAGAAGGGAAGGACATAAATACTTACCTTATCTTGGGGTAAATACTATACTCTGTGCCTCATTTCTCTCCCTGAGATAACATCTCCCTTTTTTCAAACAGATCCTTTAAATTCACTATCAAGGCTGCATAGTAGAAGGAATTTGATTAGTCTACACCCTCTAAATTCTACAGCTAGTGACCTACTCCATTTTCCTCACTTTATCTTGTGAGCTTTCTTCTCTTGAGTGATTGATTCAAGGTTTGGTACCAGAAGGAATGACAAGAGGGAGACCCATTCATTTTATTATTTCTCTTCTATTATTTCTGCTCGCTCTCTTTTATATAGTGATAGAAGAGTGCAGGCACCTGAGATTAAAACAGCTTCCCTTTTGCGTTTGGAGTTCTTTGTCCTCATTGTGTTTGTACTGTCACCGGGCACAGCTGGGTCTCTGTTTCCAATATCCTTTTTCCACACTTCATATAATTAGAAAAGAGAATCAAGAATGGCAGTCCCACCTGCTTCCAAGGCCATTCTGCTCCCACCACCAATGGTTGAAGCTGGAAGCCAAAGAAGTGGCCACATGGATCATTGTCCCCCTCCTGAGCACCTCACTCACGGTCATCTGTCTGACGACAGAGCCAGCCCCAACCCCCGAGATGACCTGTTTAATTCTGCAATTTTTGATGGCATTCCCTTTCTCCTCTTCCTACAGTTGTTCAAGGGGCAGGGGGCACTCTTCCAAGCAAAATCCAATCTCAAAACCAAGTTTTTACTCGGTCTCCAAGTTTTTACTCGGTTTTTACTTATTCTAGAAAAGCCTTAGAAATATTCCTGGTTTCCTTTTGGAGCCAAAATAACAGCATTTGTTTCTTGTCCCCTTGGGGACTCAGCAGGTCCCTCTCAAAAGGACACCATCATTTTATTTAGAATCTATAGAACTGGAGAGAGAGGTCTGGAAATGTTTCTTGAAACACCATGGCTATTGCATATATTGGCAATTTTTTAAATCTATTTCTATATCAGGAATATTAACAATCATAAGGTCAGAGCAATTTAATAATCTATAGACTATTGCTAGCCTGAACTAACTCTACAGTGTTTCTTTAAAAACACCATCTGCTTAAGTAACTGGCTTTAGAAGGGCACTTGATGCTAATGTTTTTAAATAGCTTTTTATGACATACCTTTAAGATTCATTTGTTTCTCATTACCTTCTATGGAACACTAACTCCTGAATATAGTCTCAGGGATGGTACCATACCTGGCCCAGGAACACTCAAAGTAATATACCCAAGCAATATAATTCAAACATAAAGCACATCAAGTGAGGATGAGATGTGGTGAGTTGAATGTATTAAGTTCCTACAGCTTTTTTTATGTATGTAGCTACTTGAATGGAGACGTTCAGTAAAAGGTTCTCATTTGAAGCCTAATTAAAGAAATCTATTTTAAAGCGAGATGGAGGTAAGAGGAGAAAAGATAAATGAGGGCTGGAGGCTGATGTTACACAGCGATGGCCATCCAGGTGTTCCAGGTGGGTGAATCGGAAGATGGAAAGAACTGCTTCCTACAGGAGTTATTTGCATTGAGAGCAGGTGTTCAGTAGAGAAGTCCCAAAACAGGCAATGTGCCAGATCTTTTTACCAAGTGACTGAGTCCCTCCAAGTGCACTCCCCATCCTCCCCTACGCTGCTCCCTGCCTGGGAGAGTGTCAGCCTCCTCTGGGATGGACCACATCAGTGAGGTCCTGCACCCACTGGCTTCTGCTTGGGTCAGCCAGTGGGGCTTCCTGAAAGGAGATGTGGGGCATGGGGCTGGGAGGAGAGTTAGGTCAGAAGAATTATTTCCCTGGTTCCTTGACTGTGGGGGTTTCTTGGGCTAAAACCAATAATTAATTGCTTTTTCTCCTGATCTTTCTTCAAACCTGGGGATCTTACCAGTCACAACTAGTAGCCCTGAGTTACTATACTATCTCTTGTGGTCCTCACTTCTTTGTTTGTTTGTTTTTTTTTAAGAAAGCAAAACAAAACACAAAACCCTCTTCACATCATTTTGAGTGTTTCATCCATTTCTTGTTAGTACTCTAACACCAGAATCTTTAGCAACTGAACTCCTGATCATCTCATATTTAAAGGGTCTCTTCTATGAAAGTTGAGTATTAAAAAATAAAACTGTTTCAGCATAAGGAGTTATATGGGAGGATCTAAAAGTGATCTTGAAAGAGGGACACTAAAGGTAACTAATGTTACAGGAAATAAGTGGTTGAGGGCAGTATAGAAATCAGTAGGATTCATTGAAATGGGATGTGAAATATATAGAACTGGTTAAAGAACCAAAATAAAAGAGTGAGGACTTCTGGATGTCAAAAAATGTTACTTTGTGAGTGATTTATTATCCATATTAAGCTCAGTTACTCACCTCACATTATTGTTTGACATTTTGGAGACAGATATTCTAAACATATTATTCCTTAAAAAATAAGTTCAATACTCTGGAACACTATGATGCAATGTTGCTTATCTTGATGTTGATGATGATAGTAAATACCATAACTATGATTCTAGCTGCCAACCACTAAGCTCTTATTCTGCTCAAGATGCTAGGCTAAGCCCTTTGTACTCCTTTGTCCTCCCTCACAACAGTCCTTAGAAATAAGCCTTGCTATTTCCTCCATTGTCAGGAAAATAGAGTTGAAAAAGGCTACCAGGCATAGCATGGAAGTGAGGAATTGGAATTCCAATCCAAAGCACCTGGATCCTCGTTTCAGTCATCTTCCAACCTCCTCATTCACTACCCAATGCATGCAAAGTACATGTGGCCCAAGAAAACACACAGCTGTGCTAACCTGTACTATCTTAAGTGACCACAAAGCTTAGAGGTTCCTTGGCACCACCCAGTGAGCAATTCACTCTCCTATTCTCCAATGTTTGTGCCTGACCTCCATGCATAAACTTCCATAAGCTGATCCCTTCCAAATTTCTATCTCTAAGCCTGTTTTCTTCCTAAAATTCCAGTCTCAGATATCCAACTCCCTTCAAAACATCTCAATTTGGATCCCTAGCAGACAAATTCAACATGTCCAAAATTTCTCTCAATTTCACCACTCCTCAAAATCTATTCCTTCTCGTGTTTACCATCCCTGTTAGAATGTAGAAGCATTCACCCAGTTGCTCAAGCTGAAACATAAGATACAGTCTTGACCCCTCTCTTTTCTCTGTACCCTCCTACAGCCCATGTTAAGTTCTGCCTTGAATCTGACATCTTGCCACTATGACTCACCACCATAGTTCAAAGCAGCATTACATTTTGTTTAGATTACTGCAGGTGCCTTTTCCCTGGTTGTCTTACTTCCATTCTCATGTTTTCAGAGGTACTAAACTATACATCAGGCAGAATGAGCTTTTCAAAATGCAAGTCAGATCAACTATTCCTTTGATCAAAACTTCTATATCTCCCAGAATCAATTTCATGGCCCACAGGCCCTAGAGGACCTGGCTGTTGAGCCATGCTATCCTCATCTCTCACCAATTCCTGCCTCATTCACTTTATTCTAGACATGCTGACCTCATTGTTGTTTCTCCAAAATTACCATCTTTCTCATGCCATGGTCTTTGCACTCACTATTTCTCCTGCCTGGAATGCTCACCTCTGAGACCCCTCACTTCATGCAGGTTTGTACTCAACAGTTGTCTTCTTAGAACGGCCCTCCCTAATCTCTACCAAAAATCACCATACATTCCCGGCCTTTGTCACTCTCCACCTTCTCTCTTTACTTTCCTTATCTTCAGGACACTTTCTATGACCTGACATTTGTCATAAATGTATTTGTTTATTATTCATTTCCTTCTCTGGAATGTAAACTCCATGAGGGTAGGGACTTGATTTGTTAAGTTCTCTGCTATATCCTTAGACACTAGAACCATGTTTCAACTATAGAGGCACTCATAAGTATTTTTTAATAGATTAAAAAAATGAAGGAAGGAAATAAGAAAAAAGAAAAGACAGAGGGAGGATGGAATGAGGGAAGGAGAGAAGGAAGGAAGAAAGGAGGAGGGAAGGATAAAAGGAAGAAGGGAAGGGAGGGAGGAAGGAAGGAAGGAAGGAAGGAGGAAAGAAGGAAAGGAAAGAAAAGGAAAGGGAAAGGAAGGGAAGGGAAGGGAGGGAATGGAAGGAAGGGAAGGAGGGAAGGAGGGAGGGAGGGGGAGGGAGAGAGAAAGGAAGGAAAGAAGGAAACAAGAAGGGAGAGAGGGACTTTGGCGCCTATGAGAGGACTTCAGAAAGTTCATGGAAAAAATAGAAAAGATAAAATATAAATATAAATTTTACTTCTCAATGTAAGTTCCATCAAATTCAGACACTTTTGTAAGCAATGATACCAGCCATTAGTCTATCCCTGTATTAGTTCGTTCTCACACTGCTATAAGGAAATACCTGAGACTGGGTAATTTATAAAGGAAAGAGGTTTAACTGACTCACAGTTCCATATGGCTGGGGAGTCCTCAGGAAACTTACAATCATGGCGGAAGGGTAACAGGCATGTCTTACATGGCAGCAGGCAAGAAAGGCAAGTGTGTGAGGGAAGAACTATTAGACACTTATAAAACCATCAGATCTCATGAGAATTCACTATCAGGAGAACAGCATGGGGGACATTGCCCCCATGATCCAATCACCTCCCACCAGGTCTCTCCCTTGACACATGGGGATTATGGGGATTACAATTCAAGATGAGATTTGAGTGGGAACACAAAGCCTAAACATCATTCCCTAAAAAATCTGAGGGTCCTTGGAATTTAGTCATGTCAGTGTAGTCTTTTTTACATTATTAATTAAAGGAAAATGGGAGCCCTTTAAAGATTGTTTTAGATTAGGAAACAAAAAGTCAGAAGGAGCCAGATCAAAACTGTAAGGTGGATGCCTAATGGTTTTCCATTGAAACCCTCACAAAACTGCCATTCTTTGATGAAAAGAGTGAGCAGCAGCATTGTTGTGGTGGAGAAGGACTCTCTGGTGAAGCTTTCCCTGACACTTTTCTGCTAAAGCTTTGGCTTTCTCAAAACACTCTCATAATAAGCAGATGTTGTTGCTCTTTGGCGCTCCAGAAAGTCAATAAGCAAAGTGCTGTGAGCATCCCAAATAACTGTTTCTGTGACCTTTCATCTTCACCAGTCTGCTTTTGTTTTGACTGGACCACTTCCACCTCTTGGCACTCATTGCTTTCATCATGCTTTGTCTTCGGGATTGTACTGGTAAAGCCATGGTCTATCTCCTCCTGTTAACAATTCTTTGAAGAAATGCCTCAGGATCTTGATGGCACTTGTTTAAAATTTCTTTTGAAATCTCTGCTCTTGCCTGCAGCTGATCCCTGGGTTCAATGGTTTTAGCACACATCAAGAAGAAAGCTTGCTTAACTTTAATTTTTTCAGTCAGAATTGTGTAAGCTGAGCCAATTGAGATGTGTTTGATGTTGCCTGTTGTTTCTGTTGTTAATTGTTTGTTCTCTTCAATTAGAGCATGAACAAGGTTAATTTTTTCTCCCAAATTGATGTGCATGGTTTGCCACTGTGGGATTCATGTTTGACATTGTGTCATCCCTTTTTTTTTTTTTTTTTTTTTTTTTTTTTCTTGAGATGGAGTCTCGCTCTGTCACCCAGGCTGGAGTGCAGTGGCATGATCTCGGCTCACTGCAAGCTCCACCTCCCGAGTTCATGCCATTCTCCTGCCTCAGCCTCCCAAGTAGCTGGGACTACAGGGGACCACCACCACGCCTGGCTAATTTTTTTGTATTTTTTAGTGGAGACGGGGTTTCACTGTGTTAGCCAGGATGGTCTCGATCTCCTGACCTCGTGATCTGCCCGCCTCAGCCTCCCAAAGTGCTGAGATTACAGACAGGCTTGAGCCACCATGCCTGGCCTGTCTCATCCCTTCTTAAAATGAGTTATCTGCTTGTAAACTGCTGATTTCTTTGATGCATTGTCCCTATAAACTTTTTGTAGGGCATCAATGATTTCACCAATCTGCCACCCAAGCTTCACCATAAATTTAATGTCATTCTTGTTTCAATTTTAGCAAACTTATGTTTCTCTGATAGGGGCTCTTTTCAAACTGATGTCTTATCCTCCTTAGTGCCTCAAACTAGATCCTGTTCAGACATGCTATAACAAATTAGTAGGAGTTTATTTTAGTGCAAAAAAAAAATTCATGTATAGTTTTTTCATAATACACATTTTCCATGAACTTTTTGAAGACCACTTGTATTGTGGTAAGCAGAATTATTGCTCCTCAAAGATGTACACATCCTATCCTTGGATCCTGTGAATGTGTTACAGATAGAATTAAGTTCATAAGTAAGATGACCTTAAAATAGGGAGCTTATCCTGGATCATCTCGGGGGTGGGGGCAATGTAATCACAAAGTACTTAAAAGTAGAAGATGGCAGAAAAGGAGTGCAGAATGGTGTGATGTGAGAATGGAGGAAGACTCAAACAATCATAGCTTGCTTTGACGATGGAGGAAGGAATAAGCCGAGGAATGCGGGTGGCTTCCAGAAGCTGCAAAGGCAAGGAAACAGATGTCCCCCTAGAACCTCCAGAAGGAGACATAACCCTGACGACACCTTCATTTTAACCAGTGAGACCTATGTTGGACTTTAACCCTTGGAACTGTAAAGATAAAAATGTGTGTTGTTTCCAGCCACTAAATTTATATAATTTGTTACAATGGCAATAGAAAACTAATAAAATTTATGCTCTTATGCTTAGATCTATACCACCCCTCCTGACCTTCCCCGTTACTCTCTTAGTGATTTGGGGATATTCCTTTGTCAGTATAATTGTATAATTATAGTTCTCTCTTTCCCAGCACAAGAAAAGGTACAGCCTCCATCTCTTGTCTTTATGTTAGCTATTAATCATGATAACCATATTTTTTAACAAAATAGGACATAAAATGAAAAATTTGTTTCCTAGCTATATGACTTTGGATAAGTTACTTAACCTTTCTGTGCCTCAGTTTCCTCACTTGTAAAATGTATATTATAAGAATAATTGTTTCTCACACATCTAGAAGTAGATTAAAAATGCTCAATAAATGTTAGCTACTATTATTATTAATGCATCCACTAGGATAAAATACTGAAGTCAAGTCCCTTCCAGAAAGCCCAAAACACATAAACTCAACACTATTAAGCCATGTTAACACCAAATTCTATAATTTTCAGAGATGACTGTAAGCAATTTTGCAGGTGATAGTTTTCTTGTGTTTTCAATAATGATTTAAATTATCACTCAATCAAGATTTGACATTACTCAGTATAGGCAAAGGCATACAGAGAAATGGGCACCCTCACACTCTTTGGGCCTCAGTAACCTTCTATCTTACTTTTGCCTTTCTGTATTGCTCAAATTTTATACAGTAAGTATAAATTGTATTTAACATTAAAATTAAAAGCTGTTGTTATTTTGAGAAAACTAAAACAATTTAGCCTTGCCGATTACAATTTGGTAATTGTCTCTTAACCTTCTCTGGGTATATTTGCTGCAGAGAAGCTATAATGGCATATTCAATGTTCTTGTCCTCAACCCTGATAAAAGACTAGTCCTTTCAATTTCCAAGAAGCACAAAGAAAACAAAACCTGAGCCATAGGTTGTGAATATGTATAAAGAAGTAATAAAATCTATTGTATTTTTCCTACACAGGATAAGGTTGATGTGAAACTTAGTAATGTGGTTCTTTCTTGAGACATACAAAGTGCATGGGTTATACTGTCAAAAAAAAAAAAAACACCAAAACAAAAAGAAGCCAGACATTTTTTCCAATTGTTTGCATGAACTCACCTCTTTTGAGTAAACAAAATTAATCACCATGTATTATGAGGATATGTGAATTCTACAGCTGCTTCCCACATTTCATATTTGACACTGAATAGTGCTTATGACAGGTTTCTGATGAGTTATTCCAAATTTGGGAAATTAAAAGATCATCTTCCACAGCTATTCTAATTAGGGAGAATGAAACTAAGGGTGTTGAAATGATCCACAGGAAGATTTTTATTTTAATAGATTCAAGGGATACAAGTGAACCATAGTGGTAACGTCTGGGCCTTTAGTGTAGCCATCATCCCAATAGTGTACATTGTACCCACTAAATAATATCTCATCCTTCCCACCCTCCCACTGATTCTCCAGTCCTTACTATACCACTCTCTATGTCCATGTGTACACATTACTTAGCTCCTACTTATGAGACTGTGTGTTGACTTTCTAATTCACTTAAGATGATGACCTCCAGTTCCATTCATGTTGCTACAAAAAACGTAACTTTATTCTTTTTTATGACTGAGTAGTATGCCACATTTCCTTTCTTCAATCATCTATTAATGGATATTTAGGTTGGTTCTACATCTTTGCTATTGTGAATACAGCTGCAATAAACATACAAGTGCAGACATCTTTTTGATATAATGATTTCTTTTCCTTTGGGTAGATAATAAGTAGTGGGATTGCTGGGTCAAACGGTAATTTTACTTTTAGTTCTTTGAAAAATCTCCACACTGCTTCCCATAGAGGTTGTACTAATTTACATTCCCACCAATAGTGTGTAAGCATTCCCTTTTCTCTGCATCAGCAGGAAGACTTTTTTTAAACAGTGATCCTTTTCTATTTGTTGATTTATTATTTTATTCACAAATGTATGCATTTATTCAACTGTTATTTGTGGACCTAACACTTGCTAGATGCTGGCAATACATCAGCGGACATTCAGATGTGGTGGCTTTCTTATCCTTCATGTAAAAATGGAAAAGAGTCAAAACTACAATTTCCCTGGAAACCTGCTGACAAAGGCTAGTAAAAATTCACAATCCACATTCTTCGATTCTTCATATTTTGTCAAGTTCATTAAAAACAAAGAGGACCTATACATGTCTGCCAAAAAGGACATGATGGATATCTGACAAAATGCATTAAAAAGAGACCAAAGGCAAGCATTTTGTCCATTTATTAATTATTTCTTTGATATGGTTTTGCTGTGTCCCCACCCAAATCTCCTCTTGAACTGTAACTCCCACAATTCCCATGTGTTGTGAGAGGAATGTGGTGGGAGGTAATTGAATCATGGAGGTGGGTCTTTACCATGCTGTTCTCATGATAGTGAGTCTCATGAGATATGATGGTTTTAAAAATGGGAGTTTCCCTGCAGAAGCTCTCTCTTTGCCTTCTGCCATCCATGTAAGATGTGACTTGCTCCTCCTTGCCTTCCACCATGATTGTGAGGCATCCCCAGCCATGTTGGACTCTATGTCCATTAAGCCTTTTTCTTTTGTAAATTGCTCAGTCTCAGGTATGTCTTTATCAGCAACATGAAAATGGACTAATACAGTAAATTATGATAACACCCCAGTAGAGTGGTGCATTGCTGAAGATACCTGAAAATGTGGAAGCAACTCTGGAACTGGGTATCAGGCAGAAGTTGAAACAGTTTGGAGAACTCAGAAGAAGACAGGAAAATGTAGGAAAGTTAAGAACTTCCTAGAGACTTGTTGAATGGCTTTGACCAAAATGCTGATAGTGATATGAACAATAAGGCCCAGGCTGAGGTGGTCTCAGATGGAGAAGAGGAACTTGTTGGGAAATGGAGCAAAGGTGACTCTTGTTATGTTTTAGCAAAGAGACTGGAGGCATTTTGCCCCTGCCCTAAAGATTTGTGGAACTTTGAACTGGAGAGAGACAATTTAGGGTATCTGGCAGAAGAAATTTCTAAGCAGCAAAGCATTAAAGAGGTAACTTGGGTGCCGTTAAAGGCATTCAGTTTTATAAGGGAAGCAGAGAATAAAAGTTTAGAAGATTTGCAGCCTGACAATGTGAAAGAAAAGAAAATCCCATTTTCTGAGAAATTCAAGCTGACTGCAGAAATTTGCATAAGTAATGAAGAGCCAAATGTTAATCCCCAAAACAATGGAGAAAATGTCTCCAGAGCATGTCAGAGGTCTTTACAGCAACCCCTCCCAACACAGGCCCAAATGCCTAGGAAGAAAAAATGGTTTCTTGGGCTGGGCCCAAGATCTCTGTGCTGTGTGCCACCTAGGGCCTTGGTGCCCTGCATACCAGCCACCCCAGCTATTACTAAAAGGGGCCAAGGTACAGCTTGGGCTGTGGATTTGAAGAGTGCAAGCCCCAAGCCTTGGCAGCCTCCACGTGATGTTGATCCTGAAGGTGCACAGAAGTCAAGAATTGAAGTTTGGAAACTTCTACCTAGATTTCAGAGGATGTATGGCAACACCTGGATGTCCAGGCAGAAGTTTGCCACAGGGACAGGGCTCTCATGAAGAACCTCTGCTAGGGCACTGCAGAAGAAAAACTTGGGGTCAAAGTCCCCATACAGAGTCCCTACTGGGGCACTGCCTAGTGAAGCTGTGAGAAGAGACCCATTGTCATCCAGACCCCAGAATGGTAGATCCACCTAATGCTTGCACCAGGCACCTGGAAAAGCCACAGACGCTCAATGCCAGGCAGTGAAAGCAGATTGGACGGAGCTATACCCTGCAAAGCCACAGGAGCAGAGCTGCCCAAGACCATGGGAACCCACCTTTTGCTTCAGCATGACCTGGATGTGAGACATGGAGTCGAAGGAGATCATTTTGGAGCTTTAAGATTTGATTGCCCCACTGGATTTTGGACTCACATGGGGCCTATAGCCCCTTTGTTTTGGCCAATTTCTCCCATTTGAAATGGCTGTATTTACCCAACACCTATACTTCCATTGTATCTAGGAAGTAATTAGCTTGCTTTTACTACCTTGGTTTTACAGGCTCATGGTCAGAAGGGACCTGCGCTGTCTCAGATAAGACTTTGGACTGTAAACTTTTGAGCTAATGCTGAAATGAGTTAAGACTCTAGGGAACAGTTAGGAAAGCATGATTGGTTTTGAAACGTGAGAACATGAAATTTGGGAAGAGCCAGGGAAGGAATGATATGTGGTTTGGCTGTGTCCCCACCCAAATCTCATCTTGAATTGTAAGTCCCACAATTCCCATGTGTCATGGGAGGAACTTAATGGATGTAGTCGAATCATAGGGGCAGGTCTTTCCCATGCTTTTCTCATGATGGTGAATAATGAGATCTGATGGTTTTAATAATGGGAGTTCCCCCGCACAAGCTCTCTCTTTGCCTGCTGCCACCCATGTAAGATGTGACTTGCCCCTCCTTGTCTTCCAGCATGATTGGGAGACCTCCTCAGCCATGTGGAACCATAAGTCCATTAAACCTCTTTCTTTTGTAAATTCCCCACTCTCGGGTATGTCTTTATCAGCAGTGTGAAAACGAACTAATACATTCTTCCTTCGTTAAAACTTTTTTGAACATCTACTCTGTGTTTGGTACTTTTCTAGGTGGTAGGAATACAGCAGTGAACAAAATAGATTTCATGCCCATTCTTTTGGAGCATAACATTCTGAAGAATAACATTAAATATAGTCTGCCCCCTGAATCTGTGGGCCTTGCATCTATGGATTCATGCAACTCTGAGTCAAAAATATTGTTTTAATTTCATTTATGCTGAACATGTGCAAAGTTTTTCTTGTCATCATCACCTAAATAATACACTATAGCAACTATTTATATAGCATTTACATTGTATTAGGTATTATAAGGAATCTGGAAATGATTTGAAGTATATGGGAGGATATGCATAGGTTAGACACAAATATTACAACATTTTATATCAGAGATTCGAGGATGTGAGGATTTTGGTATCAGGGGAGAGTCCTAGAAACAATCCCCCATGGATACCAAGTGGAGACTGTACTTGCATTTAGTAAGATTAAATATTAACATTTAGTAAGAGAGTCAAAAATTTAGGAAAATGGGTCTCTGAGTGCCCTTCCCCCTCCATTTTTGCCTGTTGAAATATTGCGCTTTCATCGACATCCAGCTCAAATGCCAAGTTCACCATTTCCCCTCCTGTATGTCCCCTTTATATCTTGCTGTTTCCAAATACTTCATGCCTTCATGTTGTTTTGAGTCCATTATAGATTACAAACCCCTTGCCTTGTTCATCTCCTAATAAAGCACCTAGTATATAGCAAGACCTCAATAAATTATTCTTCAATTAAGCAATGTAAATGAAAGGATAAATAAATATCAAAGTGGTTAAGCATATTTCTTTCTTTCCAAAAGGAAAACTAGATTCAATTAATGTTCCTCCAGTCCTTAAATAAAATTATTTTTATGACAGAGGTTTTAACCTGCTTTCTATGTAATATTGGTGTCAATTATATTTGACAAATCTGTCTAAACAGGGCCAAAAATAAACTTTTTTCTTTGATTTCCAAAACCTACTTCTCCTGTTATTTTCCTTATATAATTTAATGACACTGATATCTTCCTGGTTGCTCAAGTTAAAAACTTCAGTTCCTGTTTGTTCATCAAGCTTTTTGTTTGTTTGTTTACTCTCCAGTACTCACCAATTCCTTTTTATTCTCCTTTGCAAATATTAATTCCATTACTTGAAACTTTCTCTTCCTTTCAGTCTTCACTACTACCCCCTTAGCAAGTCTAAATTGTTTCTTGCCTGAACTGTTGAAGCAACATCCAACAATCTCCCTACCAAGATTGCCATCTTCAATCTCACCTAAAGTTGTCTTTCAAATGGCACATTTTAGGTCACTCTGTTATAACATCTTCAGTGAATTTCAAATCACACTGTTGGAAGGTGTTTCACTGAGGAAGTATCCTCTGGTTAAATAATCTAAGGTAACATTGGCTTAAGCACATTTAAACAGGTTTCTTTGCTGCAAGACTTCTCAGAAACTGATGCTCTACTGTGCATGAGTCTCCAAGAAGAAGTAAGTATTTCACAAAATATTCAATTTGAAATGGAGAAAAACTGAGTTATGGGAAGCTGAGTCTGATATTGAAGACTCACTTGTCATCCATGGCAACCCCTTTTTTATCTTTCTCAATTATGGAAGTGGGAAAAATAAAAATACTCATGTCCTAGCCTTCCTGGCTGCCAGGTGAGTCTAAGTGACAATTCTGGTCAATATCATGTAGACAGAAGTCATGGAAAGCACTTCCTTTTTACCCTTTTCAATTCTTGCTATTCCTTCCTGGAATAAAGATGTAATGCTGGAGGTATGGCAGCCACCATATACTTCTACTAAGGATGGGAGAGCAGGGAGGTGAGATTAGCCTATTTCCCTAATGGCATTATTGGCTTATAAACCAACCCTGAACTTCCCATAAGAAAGCTAAATTCCTGCATCATTGTAAGCTACTCCGGGTTTTCTGTTGCTTGCAGTTGAATGCAATCCTAATGAATAGGATTGCAATCCTAACGAATAATATCTCACAGACATTGAGCACAGTTTTGGAAATAATAAAATACAAAATAAAGTTTAGATTTCTAAGCATGGCATACAACCCACGTTTCTCATCCATCTGCCTTACTTCTAACTCTTCAATGATACTAAAATGCTTAATATTTCCAAGTATTTCTATGGCTTTATATAATGTGTATGATATGTATGGCCCTTACCAGGTCTGTCCACTGTGGGCAGCAGAATCTTGACTGTCATTATTATTGTCTTCTTCTGGTTCAGATGGCTTTCTTTAGTAAGTACTGCTTATTGAACTAGCTGTAGCCATGTCTGTTGCTGTTAGTGACTGAACAGATCAGTGCACACTTGGAAACTTCAGGGAATAGATATTTCTTTTCCTGCTCACTGTGAACACTAAACCTGCTAACACAGCAGAGAAATGCCTTCTAGTCCCTCCTGAGTTGGAAGTCTTTTTGTCCACTCATACTGTGTGGAGATGGATCTTTCTGGACAGAACAGTGTCTATGAGTGTTGCTCTGCCATTGTCCCCAAGGACACATCTCTATGCTGCACCATCAAGCCACCCCACTGGCTATAATGGCTAGATTTTGCTTTACAGTCATTTTACACCCACGAGCTCTGCCCCTCAGTCTGGCCTGCCCTTTTCTTCATCCACCTGGTAAACAACTTCTCATCCTGAAAATAAAACTAAGCTGAAATTTTACCTCCCCTGTGAAGCTCTTCCCATAACATCCAGTGCTTGTTTCTCAGGCCTATTTCTTCCCACAGCATGTTGAACGTGCCTCTATTGAAGCACTGATCACTAGGTAATATAATTTTTTATTTAGATGACTCTCAATACCAATAATCTATAAGTTCCTTAAGAAAATGTACCACATCATCTTTATATTTGAAGCCCCAGCATCCTACACTGTTTGATGTATGCTCAGTGTTCAATAAGTGTCTGATCAGTGAACAACTGACTCAACCAATGAACGATACATAGTTGGTAAGAATATAATGCTTAAAAACTGTTCATCTTGGCCAAGGCTGAATTTCTCCTCTTGCCAATATCATCTTAGTCACCAAGAAGACTAATGAAAGGACAGAATCCAATTCTAAACTGACTACAGTCATAGCTTTATTATACATTAAGCAACACATTATTTTAATGAAATATCTACAATATAAATTATAGTATGATTGTCATAAAGATATTAAAAAGTTTCTGCCTACCTGAAAGAACATATAAGTTATAACTTGTAATGTTAAATGTCACTGGTAAGAAGTGCTCCAAAAGATAACAGTACAAGTAAAATCACATTTCTTTCATTGTTGCCAATAATATAATCATTTGAGTTATCCCTGCCACACAGGCAGGAAGGTCAGTATTTTCCTGTTCAGGTGTCCTTGCCAATTGTCCAGGAACTCCCTAGAACTTTGAAAGGTAAATCGCTTCTCTACCTACTTCAGGGATGCAGAAGACTGCAGGTCAGCATCACCCAATGCCGCTGTTTCTCACACCACAGGTGTCAATGCTCATGCTCATCCTCATGAAGTCCCACAAGCCATGGGCTCATGTCTGTTCCATGTGACACCATGGCCAGTTTCTGTGGCCCATTCCCTCAATACTCCTAGGTTGTAACTGTAGTGAACAGCTTTTTCAGTTTGCATAATTTCCTCTTCCTAGGGCACAAGTTAGTGCAAGAACACTTAAATTCATCCCTCTCCCACAAGGGGATGAGACCTAACCCATCCCTACAACTCCCAAGGAATGAGACCTCCTCCCTTCCACTCAAAACACAAAAAGTCTCTTTACCTTCTTTCCTGATCATTCAGGCTACTTTTCCTATATGAATCCACCAAGAGAAGCTCTCAGTGTTTCTCAGGTGCCCTAAGCTACCTTTCTGAAAAGAGCCAAAATTAATAATTACAATGTGATGATCAGCCTTTGCATAGTCTGAGCCTGTATCCAGATCCCCCAGCTAAGTTGCGGTTTAGTACCAGAGGAGCTAGCAGCCCTGTCCTAACAGGAAATATAGGGGAGCTGGATGTGTGTCTACAGTGTGCCTTTCACGGGACACTTCTGGTATATGTGGCGGATGGCTTAATGCCTAATTGTCCAACCTGTGGCCAGAGGTCTCTCACATGGGAAACTTGTTTATACTGGCAGATGCTCCTGAGGCTCTTTTCTGACCATTGACATGGTGCTGGGAGCCTGGCCTTATACTCTCTCCAGAGTTCCAGGGAAAACCTGTCCAGAGGCAGCTTCTGGTTCTTCAGATGCAAAATGCAAATGCATTAAAACACCACAATAGGGAATATGTTCAAAGATTTGTTAGTCACAGATCCTGGGCAGAGAGGGCACCATGAGTCAGAAGGGCAGTCCTCTGTCCCCAGGTCACATGAGGTGGGAAGGAAGAATCAAGGGGGGACAGAGAGAGAGAGAGAGAGAGAGAGACGGACAGACAGACAGACAGACAGACAACTAGCAGTATATATAATCACATGGGTGATTTTAAGTTTATGAGCAAATGCCTGAATGATCCTTTTAAAGGATGAAATGGTAAAAGTGAGGAGCCCGGCCTGCTAGTCAGAAAAGACACCTCTAAGTTCTTACCTCTGGCAAATGGCTTGAGCTACTTGGAGTGTGGTATAGAACTGGAAACTGTCAAGACTGACTGAGACATGTTTCTGGTATGAGAAAGTTAAATCTGTATTTAGAATGGATACTGAGGCCACATAAAAGTATAAGAATTCACTACAGCTCCTAACAGGCAACTTGTATAGGGGTGGTCACACATTTAATCTCAGGCGTGACATCCCCAGGTAAGACATCCCACTACATAAGAAGGAACATCAAGCCTTTAAAGCAACAAGAATGGCCAAACTCAAACAATCAAAAAATAAAAGAACTAAAAGTAGAACCATGATTTGATCCAGCAATCCCATTACTGGGTATCCACCCAAAGGAAAAGAAGTCATTATACAAAAAAGATACTTGCTCACGCATGTTTATAGCAGCACAATTCACATTTGCAAAAATGTGGAACCAACCCAAATGCCCATCAATCGACGAGTGAAGAAACTGTGAGAGATATATATATATATACACAATGGAATACTACTCAGCCATAAAAAGAAAAGAATTAATGACATTCACAGCAACCTAGATGGGATTGGAGATGATTAGTTTAAGTGAAGTAACTCAGAAATGGAAAACCAAATATCGTATGTTCTCACTCAGAAGTGGGAGCTAAGCTATGAGGATCCAAAGGCATAAGAATGACACAGTGGAGTTTGGGGACTCTGTGGGAAATGGTGGGAAGGGGGGTGAGGGGCAAAAGACTACAAATTGGGTTCAGTGTATATTGCTCGGGTGATGGGTGCACCAAAATCTCACAAATCACCACTCACTCATGTCACCAAATACCTATTTCCCAATAACCTATGGATATAAAAAATAATAATAAATTTAAAAAACAATAAATAAATAAAGCCACTTTTATTTCCACAGAGGACAAGAAATAGAGATGGAAGCCTATCAAGAGATGGTATCCAGGCCAAGCAGATGGCTCTTGTCAACAGTGCAATATACATAGATGTGCACACTTGAAGCAATGCATTAACTTTAGACAATGTTCCTGACTAACTGTGCTTTAATAACTATGTACCTTTGGAGACATGAAGTCAAGCTCATTGTTTAAAAACACTGACTTATATATTCTCATCAGCATCTAGTTTTCCCTGTTCAAATCTGATTTGTCTAGAAACAGAGATTGTGCAGTGATACTGATATATGTCATTATACGCGATTTGCTTGTCAGACATTTTTGCTTGAAAAACATAAATTTTTCAGACAGTTAAGATCCAGAATGGACTTGCTAATATTTTATTCCCTGATAAACATTGATAATTTCACTATCTACAAATAGAGTCATCAAGACAGATGCCCTTGGGTGACTGAAATCTCTCTGTATGACGTGTTATTTACTGGCTCAAGGGTCTTGAAAATGATTCTATTTTTTAAGTCTCTCATAGGTGAGCCATCACCCAGAAGCTACAGGCTGAATGGGGGATCTCATTCATTCCTCTGATAATTCTCTTTGCAGGTGGCAAAATGTGTGTGCCAAAGGCAGACTTTTTCCTATAAATCTTCACAAAATAATTTCAGAACCAAAAATAAAAAGCACATGTACATTCTTTTTTAAAATAATCTTATTAAATCCTTTTCAAGTCCATGTATCTCTGAAATCCTATAGAAATTGTGGAAGTAACAAAGGTAAGAGAAGGGTTTTAATGTTGGTACTTGTAGAGCTAATTCTGGCAAACTAAGCTTTCAGCATAACTAGAACATCTCTAGGTTAATTGTATACTCCTTGAGGGCTGTGACTATATTTGTAGTATACTTTTCTTTGCTACGCCAAAACTATTTCCCCACTTCTGGTACTAGTTTCCTTATCTGATCAGGTTATTTAGTCACAATAAACAAAAACAAATTCTGCTACCTTAAGCAAAAATGATTTCATTTGAAAGTTAGAGAGTAACTCCCAGATGAAGGACTTGGCTTGAAAAAGCCAGAAATCAGGGAAGCTCTGTGAGTCCAGTTCCAGCACCTGAGAACTAACCCTTCAGGCTGCCATCATTGAGGAAAAATCAGCATTTTTGGCCTTTTTCTATTTTGCTCAGGATTCAGATTCCAAAGATAAGTCATACAATTGCCTGTGCTTTGGCCTGTGTCCACTGTATAAGGGAAATCAGGACTGTGATGAACAATCCTTCCATGTTGTATCTGATAAGTAAATTGTTGTTACTCAAAGTTAAAAGGGGTACTGTTAAAAAAAAAAAAGACAGACAAGCAGATGCTGGGGAGCAAAGAAAGGGAAGAAAAGTAAATGAGACAAATTCTAGGTAACCTGAGTGCCTCTCAAGAGGCTTGACATGTTTCTGTGGCATTCCCCAGAGGCCTAGGCACAAAGTCAGTGCAGAATGCAGATGTACCTGTTATACTCGATATATACTTTATTGATTGGTTCCTATCACCACTCACTAGACTATTACCTCCATGTGTGTGGGGACTGTGTCTTTTATGTATTATAATATCCTCAATGTCTAGCAGAGTATCTGGAACAGTGGGTCCTTAATAAATATTTCTAAAATAAATAAATAAATTTTAAAAGCTATCTCAATTATTTACATCATTTTTCTTTCCTTCCTCTTTGCACCTTTTTCCATCTCTTTCTATTCATTTTTCTCATTTATTCATTTTTTGGGTTCCTAGCTTTAGCCTGGGGCTAGTTTTTAGATCACAGACATGAACACTCTTGAGTGTCCGAATTTTTAGAAACAAGAAAATCCATGGAGCCAAAGAGATTTACATGAATACCATGTCAGTGGCAGTATGGATTATTTGATCAAATTTCCTATCATCTGAGTGAGAGAGTCTCTAGAATAATACATTTTTTAAAAATCAGCTTGTAAGCACATTAGAGGCTGTTAACAAAAATTTACTCTCAGCAACTCACCACAGGTACACCACATTCTCCATATGCTTATAATACTCTCAGGATTCAGAAAATCTGTTTGTTATAGGAGATAGTAACTTGGAAAACCCCTTTTATTGGAGAAACCCCAAGCCAGAAATACCATATAGATCTGATTTCTGAATTTGGCCTTTAATGCAGCTCAACTTGCTACATTAAAGAGAGCCAGAGGGAGAGAGAAATAATTACATTCTTGACAGTTCATCTAATAGTTCAAATTTTAATTTTATTTTCTTATTTGGAAAGATACACATTCCAAGGAACAGTCCTGTCACATAGCTGTTCACCAGTCTTCCAGTCACAAAGATCCTAACTAGCGTTTTGTACAGTTAACAGAATTCCATGGACCATCGCTGACACTTGGTGTGGCCTCTGTGTCTTGACAATGCAACTTCTATTTATGTCTAGGTTTACAAACACATGGGGTGAAATCCTAGGAGGAAGGCCAAGGGGAAATCTTCTTAAGATAGCCTAATTCTTTGTCTTCCATCTTTGATATTTGCCAGATAATATGGGCCTTAGTTCACTTTGCAATTTTACTGTGTGGTGGATTGGGAAAACAAATCATGGGAGGAAATGGTGAAAAAATTCAGCAACTTTAATAGACAGCACTAGGCTACATCAGTACTTCTCAAGCTTTAATGTGCACACAAGTCACCTTGAGATGTTATTAAAAATGCAGATTCTGATTCTGTGGAGCTGGCCCAAGAAGCTGCATTTCTAACAAGCTCTTTTGTGGAGCAGCTGCCACTGGTTCAAAGACCTCAATTTGAACAGCAAGAACCTGACTAATAAGTTCTGATCCATCCAAAGAATTATAAATTCATCTGCTTAAAATCTCCTTCTCCTTAAACTTTTGACACATACTCCTTGCACACCCCAATTTTCCTTCAGACTTCAGACTGAAAATTAGCAGATACAAATAATTTCCTCTTCAATCCATCATCCCCACTTTTTTTGTCCCTGAGTTTCACATCCCACCCTCATTTTGCGTGAGCTATGAACCTAATGTTACAGAATTCTAATTTGCCTCACACCTCAAATGTAATATGAATTTGCAATTCTTCATGAAAGTGTAGTGATACTTTATTCTTTTTATGATTTCTTTCTTAATAGAGTTCTCTTCACTTTTTATAGGTATAAGGGGCACCCTCAGTTATACATAGGGCATTATTTAAAATATTTCCTCTATTTGCATGAACAGTCAGCATGCCCCACAAGAAGAGCCATGATAGTTAGTCTGGTCATTTTTAAATTTCAACCCACACTCACCGAGAGCAACAGAATCTCTGCTTAACTTTCAATTCTCCCATCTTTTACACCTATTAGGCAGCAGTACTTTTTCATCTCTGTTTAGAAATGGAGATGACATTCCATCCACCAGCAAACTTCTTTCCACAATGCAAAGAAATCATTTCAAAGAGGCTCATTAGCTACTGCCAGGATTTGTGCTAACGTTGGGCTAAGACAAAAAAAAAATAGAAAGAAAGAAAGAAAACAACTCTGCACAAGCTGCTGCCTTATCAGTTCACAGCATGTCCTTAGGAGATTTCCCCGAGTCCTTCTGGGACCAGAACAGTTAAGTTCATGACTCCTCCTGCCCTCTCTCCCAGAGTTGATTGATGGCATGCTGCTTTCTTCCCCTCCAAAGATGACGTTTGTCACCAGACAGGGGGATCAGAATTGTAATCCTTCTTAGATTCTGTTGAATCGGAGTTTAGTGCTTTGACCTTTGCAATGATACATATTTTTTGAATGACTGTATGTTCTATTTCTCCAGGGGATTTGAAGTAGTGGGGGCCAAGGAGCCGGTGTGGCGGGGGAGCGGTGCTGGAGGAGCAATCTGGAGTGATGGTGATGTGGTTTTTGACCTTCTAGACCAGAGATTTGTACTCTTGTGACTGAAGATATCCTGTGGCTATACAGATTAACATTGCAGAGGTTAAATGGCAAACCTGAATTGCATGTAGCAAGAAACTAGGGAATTTTTCAAGTCCAACCAATACTCTACTGAGGACAATGATCTCATCTATAACAGCTGCCTGGCACACCATGTCTGCCTAGACTGTTTTTCTCTATTTTATACCCTCTGCCCTAAGAGCCACACTGGGCTTCTCCAAATGCTAAGATGGGACATTATTTCATCCGATAAAAAGCCACCCAATACCAGCAGAGGTTCAGCAAGGGGTAGACATGGTGACCCATAGATGCTCTTGTCACTATCACTGAGTAACATAAGCCAAGCTGGAGAACATAAAGCCACAACATGGTACTACTAATTGTATGCTCTTCTTATACTTCTTGATTCCTAGGTCTGACCTTGCAGGGCAAAACATCCAGAATCAGAGTCTAAACATTTGTCAGGTGCCACTCTGTACCTAGCACTGTCCTGGGCCTGGAAACGTCTCACAGGTTCCAGAGCCAGCTGGCCTGGGAGCTCACAGATCTTCCTTACCACAAGATCTTCAGTAATTCTGCTGTCTCTCCCATTAAAGGTATAAAATAATTTCTACCTCACACAATGTTGTAAGGGTTATAACTAGATAGATAGATAGATAGATAGATAGATAGATAGATAGATAGATAGAGTATATCTTAGAATAATATGAGCTATTTTTATCACGGATGTTACATTTCATTCTTATAACATTGAAGATAGACTTTGCTGCACCCATTTTACAAATGAGAAATCTGAGTCTCAGAGAGACATTGAGAGGAATTGCATTAACTTCCTCAAGTCGTTTAATGTCCTGGCATTAATAAATCCAAAGTAAGATCTCCAGAAGGAATAAAGGACTTTGTAATAGTTCCAGAAGTTGCTGAATATTTCAGAACCCCAGCTTAGCAGTGTTCTATAAAACTATTCTGTCATCGGCTATGTCCAGCTTTTGCTACTCAAGTTAAAGAAAATTTTTGTGCATTAATATCCAGGGTAAGCATTAATACCTATCCATCTTAATATCTTGCTCCATGTTCTCTAATAGACAAAATCTCCCAGACAGAAGTTACCCAGGGAAACACACAAAACATTGACAATGATTATTGTGTGTGGCCTGAATAGGACCAGGGCTGAGCTTTGTTTTTCGTATTTGTTTATTTTTATTTACCCTGCTCAGCACCAACTCAGAGAATAAGTACCAACTTCACTGAGGATTCCCATACTTGCAAGGTAAGTCCAAAATTGCAAAATGAGTCTTGAGTGAATAGTAACATAAATACACCTGTAGAAACTTGGAAAAGTTAGGAAGGAGAAAGAAATAAGTTTGGTCCTAAGAAGTCCTTATTGGAATTTTGGCAGCAAAGTAAGAATTAAAATTAGGAATTGGGGCCCACTCCAAAGCTTGGGGTAACAGAATCATCACTGGGCTGTAGTTTGCAGTCCAGTCTCCTGGGCTCATATTCAATAGGTGATGATTGAGCTCCTGCTCTCTGAAACCCTGTGCTGGTAGTATTCTGGGAATAAGGAAATGAATCGGACACTGCCCCTTTCTCTCCTTGAGAGAGGGGTATCTGTTAGCCACATACCTATTATAAAATAGGGTCCTACCTTTCCAGTTCATCTCCCAGTCCTAGCCCACTATTTCTTAATGCTTCTATAAGCTTTTGCCACATAAACCAAGCCACCTGCTCTACTCCATGCTTCAGTTCAACACATAGCATGGAATTTGGAATGGCTTGGGCTGGACTGCTGGTTTTGTCATTCAGTAGTTGTATTACTTTGGGCAACCTGCTTAAACTCACTGAATTTCAGTTTCCTCATCTGAAAAGTGGGGTTTATAATACTCACTTCTTTAGAAAATTATTATGAGTATTAAAAATGGATTATAGCTGGGTACTATGACTCAAGACTGTAATCCCAACATTTTGGGAGGCTGAGGTAGGAAAATTACTTGAAGGCAGAAGTTCAAGGCCAGCCTAAGTCACAATGCAAGACCCCATCTCTCCAAAAAGTTTAAAAAATTAGTTGGGCATGGTGGTGTGTGCCTGTAGTCCCAGCTACTCAGGAGGCTGAGGCAGGAGGATCACTTGACCCCAGGAGTTAGAGAGGCTGCAGTGAGCTATGATTACACAACTGCACTCCAGCCTGGGCAACAGAGCAAAACCTTGTCTCAAAAGAAATAATGTGTTTGTGTTAATACAGTATCCAGTACCTATTAAAAGGTCAATACACGGTATACTTATCAATATATCTACTGTAGTCAGGCTTTTGAGTAATTAATAATAATAAAACCAGTAATATATACCAGAAAAAAACAGACCATCTTAAGGAAATGGGGTTTATTTGAAAGATATAGCTGTATCCATGTCTGCACCCTGTCAGCTCCAAGCTCACATAAGCATTTTGTTACACAAATGACAGCATGCAAGGTGGTTATAAGCTCTGAGCCTAGGGTCAGGATTTGAGTATCTGCTGCTTGACTCACAGGCTGGAGGGCTTTGAACACATGGCAGAACATCTCTCTGCCTCAGTTTCCTCAACTGTAAGATAAGGTCAATAATAGACCCAGTCTCCTGTGAGTGTCATGAGGATAAAACGACATCATTGTACAAAGGGCTTCTCACCTAGCACCTAGCACAGAGCCTGTTTCCCATCAACGTTAGCCCTGTCCAATTGTGCAAAGTTGCATTGCCTGGGATAATACTTGCTTGGAAGTAGAAAGTTCCAGAATGGAAGTATAAATCAAGTGCCCCTCAGAGTCGAGGTGGCGTTGATTATACATGGCTGGAGAGACCCAAAAAGACTCAGTCATTTCTCCTGCTTTAGCCCCACCCCCTGTGAATTAACAGAGCAGCTGGACGAGGTGGTCTCCTAAGGCAGGCAGCATGCCAGATTTCCTTTGATGTTAGGAAATGGCCTGGAGAATATACATTTCAGACTTAGTTGTGGGAAAATCCTGTTTGGGTGAGTGGGGAGGAGGGTTGTGATGAGGATCAGAAAGAGGGGCCATGTGAGTGGTTCCTCCCTTAGACCATCCAACCCCCTCCCCTGGCCAACACAGCTCACATCATCAGCACCCTCATTGCAGTTCTGCTTATTGCTTTGCAGAAATAAGTTGAAACACCCTTCAGCCAAAATGCAGAGTCTGTGACATTATCGAAAAGACAATATATTACCTGTACATTAAACCGTGTGGCCAGATTCTGGCCTGTTTTTTAGTTGCGATGCAGGGAAAAAAAAAAAAAAAAAAAAAAAAAAAACAGGCCAAGTAGAAATCAGATTATAAGCCAACCTGTATAAAAACAAATGTCTAAGAGTGTAGACTGACCCACTCTTGAAGAACAAGGCCCTCACAGAAGCAGAAACACAGGTCCTTCTCCCCAGCCTTCCCCAGGGCCACAGCGTCAGCTCATAATCTCTGCCTCCATTACCTTTTCAGGTGTTTCCGGTGGTTTCACTTTTATTGTGATTCAAATGATTCCATGGTTCAATTCTATTGTTGTTCTGTGGACTGTGAGTAATGACACATTTTTAATGGCATCTTTTGGGCGCCTTTTCCTTTGATTTTTCCAGCTTAATGACATTATTGGGAGGGCTTTGGGGACTGTTATGCAGATGTACTTCCTGGTGAAGTTGCTGCTTCAGGAGAAGTCATTATTTTTTTGTGGCCCCCATAGGCCCTCAAGAGGCTGCTCCTACCAACGGCTTCCTGAGACAGTTACTTCATGAAAAATATGTTATGTGTCAAATTAACTTCACAGTGCAGACCTCAGCTAAGCAGACCCAGGACATCTCCCTAACGGAACTTGAAAGGTACCCAGAGTTTTAATTAAAATCAAAAATGTAATTGTGCTTAGTTTACTCCTCAGAGATTATCCACAAAATAATACGAAGCTCTTGCCTTCCATTTCTGACAGAATAAATGAAACTTGATTTGTTCCTCCCTGTAATGTTCATTACCAGGAAAACTACATTTTAATTGTTGTTGACAAATATTCTGATTTATGGGGTGCGTAAAATGGAACGCGGTCTAGATAGCGTGTGTCCACTTAACTTTTTCTTTGCAAAATGTTGCTTCAGGAAGCTGTGCTAGCTGTCTGTCACGGGTTTTCTTTAGGCCAAAGCAAATTAAAGTAAATCACCAGATTGGATCTCGACTAGTAAAAAGAACCATCTGTTAGGGAAAGATGTGAGTGGTAGGCAACAGAGTCAGTACTTGCCAACACACCGAGGGCGAAAAGATCAACTGGAAGAATGGCAGTGTCCAGGGGTTTCTAGCCAGAAACTGGTTCTCTTTCCAGCATCCAAATCATGCATTTTTAATTCATTGCATGGCAAAAAGACAAGTCAGACACTAATTGGTGCCATAAAAGCAAATTCGCACCATACCAGAAACTGTTCAGCCGGGAGACTTTGCATCTCTCTCCACACGGAGCATTTTGTATTCTGTTTAAAGTTTACAACTGAAATCTGAGGACATAGAGGTGGTTAAAGAATCCATTTAAATTGCAGGGGCCATTCATAATGCAAGTTTCACTAGAAGCACATTTGGAGGTAAACATGTAGGTGACCTTTTTCCAAAGTCAGAATATAGTAAGTAACTGGAGTATATGGAGGGTTTCAATTCATATATACATACATATATACACATATACACACACACTATATATACACACACATACACACAATATACACACACACATATACAGTGTATATATACACACACACACATACACAGTGGGTGTGTATATATATATACACACACACAAATATACACATATAGTTTTTTGATATATGTGTACAATCTTTCAGACATTAATGATGTAAAATATTTATTACCGTGTCAATAGTGTGTTGATTCTGATAGTGGGCATTTTTTTTATCATTATACTTTAAGTTCTAGGGTACATGTGCACAACGTGCAGGTTTGTTACATATGTATACATGTGCCATGTTGGTGAGCTGCACCTATTAACTCGTCATTTACATTAGGTATATCTCCTAATACTATCCCTTCCCCCTCCCCCCACCCCCCAACAGGCCCTGGAATAGTGGGCATTTTTAATGTATGTGACTTTAAGGAAACCAGAATAACTATTGATTGCTTTTAACACTATATGTTAACCTATACATTAATATCTTTGAGAATTATTAAGTGAAAGAAACTTAAGGCCCAGAGTGTTTCTTTCCACTAGGGGTTGTTAAGCTACAATAATACATAAAATTACTGTTCTGTTTCCCTGCTCCTTGTCCTAGAAAAGGCAAAATGGATGTAATAGAGGGTCCCCAATGCCCCTAGTATGAAGGTAGGTGATTACACACTTTGCATACTTTGGTTTCAAGATTTTTTTCCTGTGGCTGCTTTCTCAAACATACATCCTGACACACTTTGCTTTTTTGCATTTTTAGCTCAAAAAAGCTCTTTCAGGCATAATTAAATCATTTAATGTTCCTGAGTGTTATTTCCCTTTTTAAGAAATGCAATTTCATATCATTTCTTTAATTTGAACTCCTATTAGTGTTTCTGCCTTAAAATGTACCTGTCTTTATGAAGTTCCTGCAGGTATATTTCCAGCGCTTGGGATTTTAAGAAGTTAACTCACTACTGACCCCAGTGAAGACAGAAAAGGGCCAGACCATTAGATCTCACTAGTGTACTTTCTTTAGTGTGTTCTGAGATTTGAACATCACTGTGGGGACTCCCCATTACCTCTCAGGCCAGTTCCCCATCCCTGCATCCTGGGGAGAGAACAAAATGATAATCAAGCCTTTTCTTAGATTGCCATTTGCAAGGTCCAAGTAGAAAAATGGAATTCCTCTGCTTCTATGGCCTGAAATTTTTTCAAATCTTATGGCAAGGCTGGGGGAAAAGTTTTAAAATATTGGTTATAGAGACAGAAAGAGTGGTTGGGGGCCAGGAGGTACCATGCACAGAATCTGGAGAAGAATTTGGTGATAACTGCTCAATTTGGCATCTTTACCAAAAATAAAGCACAAGTAGCTGTTGTATGAGTCTCCTTGGACTTGATGTGGCTTGGTTCTGTGTCCCCACCCAAATCTCATCTTGAATCGTAAACCACATGATCCCCACGAGTCAAGGAAGAGACTTGGTGGGAGGTGATTGGATCAGGGGGCAAGGTTCCCCCAAGCTGTTCTCATGATAGTGAGTGAGTTCTCACAAGATCTGATGGTTTTATAAGGCAGTTTTCCCTGCTCTCTCTTGCAAACTCTCTCTCACCTGACACCACGTGCCTGCTTTCCCTTCTGCCATGATTGTAAGTTACCTGAGGCCTCCCCAGCTATATGGAACTCTGAGTCAATTCAACCTCTTTTCTTTGTAAATTACCTAGTCTCCGGCAGTCCTTTATAGCAGTGTGAGAATGAACTAATACAGGCTGCTGTAACAAAATACCACAGATGGGTGACTTAAACAACAGAAATTTATTTTCTCAGAGTCCTGGATGCTGAAAGTCCAAGATCAAGGTGTTGGCAGGTTTGGTTTCTCCTGAGGCCTCTTTCTTTGGTTTGCAGATGACTGTCTTCTGTGTCTTCACAGGCTTTTTCTCTGCATACATATATCCCTGATGTCTCTTTCTCTTCTTATAAGGACACGAGTCCTTATAAGAACAATGGCCCACTCATATGACCTCATTTAGCCTTAATTACCTCTTTACGCTCTATCTCCAAACACTGATATTCTAAGGTACTATGGGTTAAGACTTCAGCAAGTGAATTTTTAAGGGACACAATTCAGTCCTTAGCAGCTGCAAATGTTTTTAAATATGGAAGGAACACTCGGTGAGGAGAAAATCAATACATATACCCAAGATGCAGAGCATCCCACTGGGAAACATGAATAAAGGAAGGCTTGTCTTTGGACTTCAAGTGTTTTTTCTGTGCCCAAATGAGCTACATAAAAATCTATGGGATTCACAGTCCAAGACAATATATTCAAGAAAGAGAAACATTCAAGAAATGGATAATCAAAGCTAAGTAACTGTTCACAGGATGTTCCTGATTAATCTACCCTCAAATTCTTTCTAAGCCCAGAATTAAGCCTTCAGATAAATCTCTCAGCATCTCTAGACTGTGAGCTCCTCCAAGGCAAGGCTTCAGTGTCATACATACCTTCGCATCCCTCGTGCCCAGCAAAGAACTCAACACATTCTGGGGGAATATGAGTGCTTCCTGAACAACAGCAAAACCTTTGTTAGCAGAGCAAATGAGGAGACTGTGAAGAGCCTTGAGTCCTGCTGATTTCATTATATTAGGTGGAACTATCTGGTGTTTCTCTCAAATTAGAGCTTTGTCTGCCAGAGTGGTATTTGAAATAGCTTGCATGACAACTGTGAATAAAATGAAGAATTCACTTTAAAATTCAATTTATTCATTCCTAGTGTTTACTCAGAAAGTATTTGCAGAACATATTAAGGCATTAAAAGTTTCAGAGGGATTAACAGCCCCTTGGAACATCAGGGGCTCCATGGAAATGATCTAAATATTTCTCCAAAACTCTCATCAAATTTCAGCACTCTACTTCTTTTAAATGGACATCCTTTATTAGAGAAATATATGACATGCTCTTATTCTTCTGCTTCTATATCTCATTAAAATTGTGCCAGATGGAAATTTCCACTAAATTTCCAATTTTGTCCTTTATTCATTTTTATTAAATACCAGCCATTCAACCAACTCACCCTCAGACAAATAATTGTTTTTTAGTAACAAGCTCTGATTTCACAGCACAGCGATGAAAGGAATCCTAGAGATTTTCAGTTTACCATATTAACTTTTTACTTGAAGACTGAACTGATGGGCTGGGCGCGGTGGCTCACGTCTGTAATCCTAGCACTTTGGGAGGCCAAGGCAGGCAGATCTCCTGAGGTCAGGAGTTTGAGACCAGCCTGGCCAACATGGTGAAACCCCGTGTCTATTAAAGTTATAAAACTTAGCCAGGCATGGTGGTGCGTGCTTGTAGTACCAGCTACTCAGAAGGCTGAGGCAGGATAATCTCTTGAACTTGGGAGACGGAAGCTGTGGTGAGCTGAGATCGCACCATGGCGCTCCAGCCTGGGTGACAGAGTGAGACTCCATCTCAAAAAAACACTGAGCTGATGAGCATGATAAGCACAGGAAAAGAATCAGCTCTACCCTCAGACTCCAAGTATTTTCTTAAAGGGATCCCTGATGTAAACCTTGGCTCTACTGTCCAAGGTTCCTTTTACATTTTTCTAAAATCTCAAACTGATTTCCCACATGTTCTCATTTATCTTTATAATAAATCTCAGAAAAATCAATTGCGGTGCCTCTGTTTTGCCAATGGAAACACTCACACAAGCAGATGTAAAGCATTTTCTTACCAGCTGTGTGGTGCACAGAGGTAGACTCATACTCCAGGTCTTTATTGACTGCAGCACTTTAACAGCTTGGAATGGAATCTTCTTGCAGGCGTCTGTAATCGGCAGAGATCCTGGCATTTTATGAGCACACAGTACAACACAACTTGATGTGGCAATAGACTTCAAATCAGCCAAGTTTCAGTGTAAAATTCTCTGCAATGGTTCAGGACCACTTGTTTTAAAAGCCCTCCTGTAAATATTGTTTTCATGACAGAAAATTACCAGGCAGAGTCACATTTAACAACTTGGAGATGATAGTGGAAGACGTTAATAATCCCTGTCCTATAAGGCACAGAATCATGGCAATTATTTGAAAGATAGAAGTGACTTTTTCTCTCCCTATAGACAAGTCATGCATGGCCCACCACAGGACTCTGTGTTAAATGCCTTTGTTAACATTATCTCTAAATCAGGTTTAAGTTGGAACCATGTGAGCATAAGTCATAGGGCTATAAGGAGTCTTAAGAAGCATCTTATCCAGCATTCCATCCAGTGCTTGAATCCCCTCCATAGTAGCCCCAACTGATGGTCATTCACCCTTTGCTTAAACAATTCCGATGCTACAAGGGGCCATTTCTCCTTTGGATAAACTGATGAGCGACTTCCATATGTTCCAAAGCCAAAACAGTGAACAGAAATGTCTTACTGTAACTTCGGCCTGTTTGTACTAGTTTTACTTCGTGGGGTCCCAGAGAACTGATCCAATCCTTCTTCCAAAAAATAGTTCCTAAAATAGTTTGTGATACCTATCCTGTCTCTTTGGATCCCAGCTGGATAATCCCAGTTTCTCCAGCCACACTTAATAGGACCTGGATTCATGCTATCATCTCTCCTGTGGTCATTCCACTGAACCTATCCATGTCAATATTTATTCACTTGACAGATATTTATTAAGTGCCGACTGTATGCCAAGAACTCCCCCAGTGTGTCCATTTCTTCTTGTGTGAAGCCAAAAACTAAATATGCTACAGATGTGGCCTACACTTCTGCTAACAGGCTACGAAACTTTGGTCAAGTCGTTTAGCATCTTCCTGGACGAGTGTCTTCTGGAATATCATTTCTTATTAATCTGGGCACCATAGTTCTATTAATATAACTGAAGACTTTTTTTGTTTTTACTTTTAGTGGTTGTTTTTAGCTAGGAATAATTATGGTCACCATGGTAACAATCCTCAAATCTCCATGACTTAATGCATTAATGATTTCTTTTTTGCTCATTTATCAGTTGACTGAGGTCACGGGTCAAGAGGGAAAGGCTGGAGAGGGACTCTGCTCCACAGAGTCTTTCATGAACCCAGATGTTGGCACCTCCTAGAGACTCAGTGTTCCCTACTGGTTCCAGCCCTAAGTCGAGGGAAAAGTAAGAGTATGAAGAAGGCTTAGAGCTCTTAACTACCTTGACCCAGAGGTAACCCATATCACTTCTTTTCATAATCCACTAGCAAAACAGTCACACGGGAGGTTGGGAAATAGAGTCTGGTTCCCAAAAAGACGACAGATACGTGGATTATGTTGGTTACAAGCTTGTCTGCCACAGCTTTTTTGGCAGTGATCTCTCCCCATGGCTGTATATTGAAATGACAGTCCAGTTAAACTCTAAATCTCTTACAAAAACCTGCATGAATTGCATGGTGATTAATCTGTGAAGTTGGTTTGACTCAAGAGTAGAACTGTGTCCTTACATTTGTTAAATTTTTATCTGATCACATTCAGACCATTTATTTTTGTTTTCACTCCTTATTCTGTCATGGGACATATTTACTATCACTTCCATGTTCATATCATCTTATCTATACACTTCACAAATTTTTTGTTATATTCTCATCAAAGACATTAACGGAAAAGTTAAAGTACCTGAAGCAGAGGACAGAACTCTATGGCACACTATTAGAAACTCCCTTTTAAGGTGACAGAAGTGATTATCCTTTGCAGTCATTCATCCAATTATGAAACTGTTCATGTATATATGTGTACATATTTACATATTTATATGTATTTTTATCTATACATATATATAGTCATCCTGCTAAAATTCATATTTCTTCATCATTTCCTAGCTTGAAGTCATCATTATTTACTGGTTGAACAATTTTTATTAACCTTTACTGTGGTCCAGGTACTTTTCTAGAATTTTAATTTATTTCTCTTTAATCACAACTACCTGTACCTTTGTCTTATACATAAAGAAAGGAAAATGATGGAAGTTAAAGATATCTACTCAAGCTATATAGTGTGAGTCAGAATTTCAACCTGATGTCTGCCTCCAAAGCCTGATTTGCATGGACTTTGCTGCTTTTCATGCCAGTGGGTCATCTCTGTAATCTTCCCTCTCTGTGATCTAAGGGGACATGTTCATGGAGGAGAGGAAACCTCAACAGTACATATCTAGCTCATTCTCCAGGGACCATTATATCATTATTTCCCCAAGATCCAATGTCAAATTAACTAAACCATGGATTTCTCAACATCTGGTAGGCTTTTTGTTGGCCTCATCTCTAGGCATACTTTTGACACTGTTGGCCACTCCTGCTTTTTTGAAATATTTTCTTTCCTTGGCTTCAGTGATACTTCACTTTCCTGGTTTCCTTTTTTCCCTCTGACCATTGCTTCCTTGGTTTCTCTTCTACTTAGCACTAAATGTTATTGATCCTTAAAGTTGGATTCTTGGCCCTCATCTTCTCACCCATGCCTGTGGCTACCTCACCACATTTATGTACATATACTATTCCAGACTTTCCTCTGAGCCCCGGACTCACATATTCAGCTACTTCCTTGGCTCATCACATGCAATAGCCCAAAAGCAAACATGAGCTTCTCCAGCAAACCCAGTTCTTTCCCAGGGTTTCTTCACCCTGATGAATAGCACCCTCATGTACACCAGAATCTGAGGAAATCTCTCTGCCCCTTACCTGTCAGCATCCTATCATTTGTATGTTGTAACTGTCTTTACATTTATTCCTTCTCTCCACCTCCACTACTCTTGCCCTAATCTAGCCCCTTCCTACTATCTCTTCTGACATAGCCTATTTGCTGATGTCCCCACATCCATCCTGGTCTCCTAACAATCCACACCCCACATTGCAACCAGAATGATCTTGCCAAAACTCTATTTACTTCTTCCCCTGCTTGAAACTCCTCAGTGGCTCTCCATTGTTCCCCAACCTCAAATCACACTGACTTTTCCTTAGCCCCCCTCAGGTACCATGCTCCCTCCTGCCATAGAATATTTGCAAATGTTGCTCTTTTTGCCTGAAATGTCCTTCTCTTTTCACCCCATGCCCTGCCTGAGTTAAATCATATTCCCTCTTCACCTCAGGGCAAACACCACTTCTCGGGGAAGACAGTGTTGGTTTCCTTGTCATGGGTTCACACTTGCATATCTGTCTTCTTTTGTAAGAGCTACCAAAGTTGTCATTTTACATTTATTCAGGTGATTTTGTGATTAATAAATATCCATCTACCCTCCCAGACTGTAAACTCCATAGGAGCAAGGTCCATGTCTTCTTTTACACCCTGTTGTATTCCCAGTGCCTAACACATAGTTAGTGCCTGGCATTTTTTTGTTTGTTTTTGAGACAGGGTCTCACTCTGTTGCCCAGGCTGGAGTGCAGTGGCACGATCACAGCTCACTGCAACCTCAACCTCCTGGGCTCAGGCAATTCTCTCACCTTAGCCTCCAAAGTAGCATATTTCTGTTGAAAAAAATGAATGATCCAATCCATGCTCTATATCTAATCATTTGATTTCCAGGAAACTGTCCTGATTGCATTAAAACTAAAATATCTACTTCATTATTAATTTGGTCTTAACAAAAATTCATTGCGGATAGGCTGGAGTGGAAGCTAACATTACACCCAACCAGTAGAAGCATATCCATTTGCATGTATGAAATCTACCCAATTGCTGTGCAGTGCATGATGAAACATAAATTCCAATGCTGAATGTTTTCCAATCATGAACTATTAATAATTTAACAAAATTAATTCAGAACACTTCACTCAACAGTGAAACAGAGATGAGGAGGAAATGATGCGTGCACCAGGCTTCCAGGGTTGAATTAAATATGGCAAACAAGAAAGGGAAAATCTACCGATCCTTGTTTACAGTGCAAGTCCCCACTTAGAGTTTAATACAAATTTTATGTCTTTCTAAAGATATTAAAGAACAAACATCAGAGACATAAATAAAAATCTTTGCTTTACACAGGTGAATGATTTAACATGGTAATAGTCATTCATCGGGTCTCAGAGAAGGAAAGATAAATTGAAGGGATTTTTTTCTTTAGCATGAAGCAGTAATCAAGTCAAAGAAAAGCTTTCCATAATTATTATTATCAGGAGTAATCATTAGGCATATAAAGTGAGGCAGACAATCCACCAAGCATAGAATTAGCCCCTTCCCAGAGGATCCTACAATTTTCACAACCACAGCATGGGGAAGCAGGACAGATTCAAAAAACAGGTGAGCCAGCACTGGAGCAGTCTCTCAGTAGAAATCTTACTTTGAGTAAAGAAGCCCACAGTGTTCTGTACCCGAGACAAGAGTGAGAGAGAGAATGATGCTAGGCAAGCGGCCATGATCATTATCTAGAAGGAAGAAAATGAAGGGGAAACTAGAAGTGCAGCCATCAAAGCGTAACTCTCATATCAGTGGGAGATACGGGCATGCATTCTAGTGGTTCCCCAACATCAGAACGTTGCAATCACCTGAGAGCTTATTAAAATGCACAGGACTGGGACCCACACCTGGAATCTCTGATTCAGCAGGTCAGGGGTGGGCCCAGGAATCTGCATTTCTAGCATGTTCCCAGGTGATACTGCTGTTGCCCCTGCCACCCCTGCATTTTAGAGGACCTTTCTCTAAAAATCACATGCAAAACTTCTGATAATAATGTTTACTGTGTGCCTGCCACTGTGCTAAGGGTTTTACATAAGTCATCTATCTAATTTCATCTTTATAGCAACACTGTGGAGGAGGAGAAATAAATATCCTTATCTTACAATGAGGAAACTAAGGCTGAGGCATTAGGTGGCTGGCCAGCCCAATAGTGGAAAGTTCTAATTCCTTTTTTTTTTTGAGACAGGGTCTCTCTCACTGGAGTCCAATAGAATGATCATGGCTCACTCTAGCCTCAATCTCTCCGGCTCAAGTAATTCTCCCACCTCAGCCTCTGGAGTAGCTGGGACTGCAGGCACATGCCACCACGCCCAGTTAATTTTCTTGGATTTTTCATAGACAAGGTTTCGCCATATTGCCCAGGCTGGTCTCAGACTCCTGTACTCAAGCAATCTGCCTGCCTAGACTCCTAGAGTGCTGGGGTTACAGGCTTGAGCCAACCTTGCCCAACCAGTTCTAATTCTAAAGCCCAGTGATCTTAACTGCTGCGCTGTAGTCTTCTCAGCATAGGACTCAGTTCTGAGAACCTACCTTCAAACTATGGTACTATCAACTCCAAAGAAGTCATCACTAACTACCCCCCCCAAAAAAAGAAGTTAAAAATTACTAAATTGGCTTCCAAAGTCTATAGCAGTGGTAAGCCCATAAACACATCTTAAGGTGGCTGTGGTTGAATATGCTGGAATATCACACTGTAAAGGGGGAGTTAAAGATGCTGCAGACATCCACACCTAACAGTAAGTGAGAAAGAGATGGAATAAGAGAATGGAAAACTCCAGTGGGGTCCCATGAGGGACTGAGAGCTGACCAGAGCAGTATGGACTCCAACATAAATGATTAATACTAAAGACAACCAGGAGACATCAAGGAATCTAAAGATAAGATGGGGACAATCAAAATAGAAATTAGCATTGCTTATAAAATTTCAGGACAGGAAGAACACTGCTATGGTAAAACAACGACCCAAGCAAGAGCCAGGGACAAGCAATAGGGAGGTGGAGGAGGTGCTGATATCTCTTAGAAATTAATTCTTCTCCCAATACCCTGTATTGCCCTCCAAAGCAGCCCACAGCCTACAGAGCAGGGAGTGGTTAAGAGAACAGCTTTGGAGTTTGAGAGACTCTGCCTGGTTGACATTGCTTACAAAACCCCTCTATACCTCAATTCCTCATCTGTTCAATGGAACTAATAATTCCTACCTCAAAGGGTTGTAAGAATTAAATGAGATAATGTATATAAAGCACTTGGTACCTGGAGCATCCTACTAGCTCAGAATATGTTGGCTTTTTTATTATTGCTATTGTTGCTTTGTTATTATCATTGTTAATATTATCATTCTCAAGGGAAGAACAATTATTTCAAAGGAAAAATATAATGGCCTAGATAATCATCAGTGAAAGTCCATGTGAACTCTCCCTGTTAATCAATAGCTTGGCAGTTTGGGTCATGCAGTTTCTTATGAAACAGGTGCTCCTATTCGATTTAGCAAAAAAAAAAAAAAAAAAAAAAGAGAAAAAAGTTAAATGAAATAAAAAAAAAGCAGCATTTGGTGCCCTACTTTTCTCCAGTACAGTTTACATGTTCTTCTAATTAAATTTTTTAGTAAACTCAGTTCCACAGCCATGCTGGGCTCGCTCAGATGCACTATAGAATGATTCACAACATCGATATAAATTTCTCCGCTCCAAGTGCCAAATTCCTTGCTGTAGGTGCAATATCAGAATTCATTTATTATTTCACCCTCGCTTAATTAATTCCACTGCCAGCTACCTGTTGATGATGGAGTTCTGTTGATAATGCTGAACAAAGTTTTAAGGCAAATAGTTGTAATAACTTGTTTACTGCTGGGTGTTCTGCCACTTTTGATTAAACTTCATGAGGATTTATAACCATCTTCTCCCCCACATGCCTGTAACCTTTAAGGGATGTCTGATAAAAAGCAAAGGTCGTGAGCTCCAAAAGCCCTTGTTCTAATAAATATGTTAGACAGCTGACCCCGAACATGCAGCTATTTCTCATCCTTTCTCCACTCCCCCATCCGATATACTTATTTTTTACAGCGATTCTCAACAAGGGTAAAATTAACACAAAGAGAATTAATGGTTTAATTTCACAAGAGAAAGGAGAGAGTTTAAGATGTCTCACTGGGGAAGGGGGATTCTGTCTTTGCTGATGACCCAAACATGTCTGCCAAGGAGAAATATGGTGTCCAGTCTCCCATTGAAGTGCCACTGGAATGGATTGGCCGTGGCTGCTGGCTTGACAGGTGCAATACATATTAATTAGCGTGCTTGGCTACAGAGGGAGTAATGATATACACTGCTTCTCCGAAGCGTTAAATTGTAGTGTTAGTCTTGATGATGCCTCATCTTCTCCATCAAGGCAGGAAAACATTTTGAGTTACAGGTATCCCTGTATAGGCAAAGGAATAAGGGCCTGTCTGTTGTCAGGAATTACAGGTGCAAAAAGTGAAGGCTAAGACAGATCGTGAGTTAGGCACTAAGCATTCCCTATGTGACTAGGTTTTTAAAAATCAGTATTTCAGGAAGCACAAACCAATTCTAAAATGTTTGCCATTGTTAACAGATAAAGTAGAAACATTTTCTTATTGTCAAGATATTTGATTACATTGGAAATAGATTTGAAAAACTCCTTGTCTGTAACAACCCCCAGAAATATGTATTAAATATTAGAAAAATTGTGCTTGTTACCCAGTATTGATGGATAAGCACCTATAACAGCTTGGGAATTAGATGGTTGTTTGGGGGAACTGAAGATAAATTGCTGTTAAAATTTAGCTCTGATCAGAAACAAAAATACACAAGGAAGCCACAATAAGCAAATTAACATTAGCACTGATTCTAGGCTTTTGACAAAACGCATTTTGAAATGGGTATGTTTAGATGTTTACACCTGAAGTTACAGCAAAACAACAGCATTTCACCAAGAAAAGAGGCTCTAATTAAATACTGATATTTTCCATATCCTTAATTATAATGGCTTACAGTTCTGCCTAAGGGCTTCTCTAGAAGCTAATTTGCTGGAATATCACCACTTACACTTTTCATTTGTTGAAGATCTTGCTCCCTCGCGAATTGCCTTTTTTAGTTTGTTGTTACTGCATTTGGCATTCTCTTTCTGGGAATGCTTCCTGCCCCCTGTATAGAAAAGACTAGCAAGAAACTTGGCAAACAAAGTTTCATCCTGGGTGGAATTCTTTCCCCTCCTGCATGGCTTAAATGTGTTGATATCTGTTTCTGTACTGCAGCTGCAAAGCAATGGTTTTTGGCAACGTGAATACAAACACATTTCTTATTCTCTCCTGAAGCCCTGGTTTCTAGCAACATATCCCCAAGCAAGTGTTTCTGAAGCTACAGCTAGCACAGGGAGGCAACACCCAATGGGCATGAAATATGAACTAATTATGAGTTTCGCTAAATCAGCAGGTATCTGGGAACTGGGCTTGACCATTTCTGCAAAGTGCTCCAGGCAATCTCGCAGGACACAGGCAGCTCTAGTCAGTGGGCCATGCTGTTTCCCTATTCCCTCCTCCCCTGCAATATTTCCACCTGCTTTCCTAGAGAAGCACAGAGTCCGCCTCTCACCAGGCCCATAGAAAAAGTTTGTCTACTCTCTGGAAGTGGGCTTTACAATTACAGTCCTCTCTATCGCCTGCCTACAAGATCCTTAAACACACAGACCACAGCAAGTAGGCAGCTGGCAGGGAGTAGTGACTAATATGTAAACAGTCACCTCTTCTCCCCAACATGGAGTCAGATCTCTAGAACTTCATCCTTGGTAGAGTGGACCAAGAAGTGAATGGTTGGCTAATGGGATGCAGGTAAATGCTATTGTCTAGCCTCAAGTAAAAATGTGCTTCTCTATAATCACCTAGACTAGAAGCTCTGTCTAGTTGTTATGACACAATTCGTAGAGGCAGCTACCTTTCTGTCATTAAACTGTGGATAGTTAATGAGATCCTTAAAGAAGCCTAACATGTGGATGTTTTTACCCCATTATTAAACACTGCCTTACTGGTGTGCAGTTCCTACCTACTTTGAAAGATTTCAGAGTTCAATGCCTTCAACAATAATTAAGGTATATCCAGAGGCAAGCCAGGAGATAGGATTCAGGAACATATTGGTCCCATGAAAATTAAAAGTTCACCAACTAAATATTCAGAAAAGTATATCAAAAACTGAACAAGCTTTGACTCTTCTCTGTGAGCTCCAGAGAGTCTTTATAACTCTATTTTACATATGAAGTTCCATATCTGCCCTAGACCTTGGCTGTGACCTAATAATTGGAATTACAAAGCTTCCCCTAAGCACGGTTAAGGGTCAAACAGAAAAACATTATTTGTATGCAATTATGCTTTTGCCCATAAAAACAGAAAAGACCCTATTGAAACCTCTAAAATATATATCTTGAAAGCATATCTAAATAAGGGAGATTTTAAATAAAAATGCTCATGGAATTTGGAACCAGAAAGATCTGAGTTTCAATATGGATTTGCCAAGGAGATGTGTGCTCTTGGGTAAGTCACTTGAACTCTTGGGCCTCAGTTTCCTCAACTATAAATGGAGTATAGTAGTACTTCTCTAAAAGGGCTATTAGGAGGACAAAATAAGATTATGTTTATAATGTCGGCAGAGTGCTTAGTGCTACTAAATAGATATTATACATGGTAGTTACATGATAATATTAATTGCTATAATTATTGCCATTAAATTCTAAAATTAACCATGAACCATAAAGCTCTATATCATCAGAATCATCTCCACAATCATCATAACATGTGGTTGGCTGAATTACGGCTATCAAGAAGATTCCATGCCTCAATCCCCAATCTGAGGAGCTCTCCCACCCATGAATATGTCACAGCAAGTAGGTTTAAAAAGGGCTAATTGACATTAAAATAGGGAGATAATCCTCGATTGCCTATGTGGGCCCAATATAACCACATGAGCCCTCAAAAGCAGAGGCAGGTAGGGCAATCAGAGCAATTCAAAACCTGAGGACTTAACTTGCTGTGGCTAGCTTGAAGATGGAGGGTGCCCCAGGGATAGTATGAAAAAGAAATGAATTCTGTCATTGACCACTGAGAAGACCCAGCCTCAGGTAGAAACTGCAGCCTGGTCAACATCTTGATTTCAGCCTTGGGAGACCCCAAGCAGAGAATCAAGCAGTGCCCAGGCTTCTGACTCACAAAAACTGTGAAATAATAAATGGGTGCTGTTTTAGGTAACTAAGTTTGAGGCAGTTATGGCAGCAATACAGCCATCTACCCCTTACCAAAATACACTTTTTGAACATGCCATGTTCTCTCTACCCCAGGGCCTTTGCACAGGCTGCTCCCTCTGTCTGTGATCTCTTTCTCAACTCTTCATCTGGCTACCACCAGTTCATCCTTTTGGTGTTAGATCAAAAATTTCACCTCTTGATAAAAGTAGTCTTTATCTAAAGTGGGTCCCTCCATTAAGACTATTCCAAGACCCTGTTTGTCTCTTTCTGAGTTTTTGCCAGAGTTTGTAATTTTCTTTTTTCTTGTTTATTTTTCCCTATTTGGCTATAAGTGCAGAATATACCATGACTCAATAAGTAATTGTTGAATGAATATGAATTAATGCCTTACCCCATTCAATCCTCGTGACCAATCTGCAAGGTAGATACTATTACTATCTCCATTTTACAGATGAGAAACCTGAGAAGTAAAGAGATTAAGTAGCGTTCCCAAGATCACACAGCCCTCGCTGATGGAGACCAAGTATGACCCTAAAAGTTCATGGTCTCAGTCTCTGAGCTCTCATGCCCCTAGAGAACTGCAAGTTCTACAAGTAGGAAAACACTGACATCACAGTGAGCCAACAGATTTTATTCTCTAAGTCAGACATCTGCAGCACTCTAAGATTTAACAAATCCTTACATCTGAAATTGTGTCTTATGCACATCGGCTGTAACATAGTCTCTGTAGTAATGTCCTAGAATTGCCATAACAAAGTACCACAAACTTACAATTCTGGTGTCTAGAAATCCAAAATCAAAATCCAAATTCAAGGTGCCATCCAAGCCATTATCCTTCTGAAAACTATAGGAGAGAATCCTTCATGGGCTCCTCTAAGCCTGTTGTGGGCTGCTCCAATCCTTGCCATTTCTTGGCTAATAGATGCACCATTTTGATCACTGCCTCCACCATAAATGGCCTTCTTCCTTCTGTGTCTATGTCTTTTCTACTCTTCTTATAAAAACACCAGTCATGGCCGGGCGCGGTGGCTCATGCCTGTAATCCCAGCACTTTGGGAGGCCAAGGAGGGCAGATCATGAGGTTAGGAGACTGAGACCATCCTGGCTAACATGGTGAAACCCCGTCTCTACTAAAACATACAAAAAATTAGCCAGGCATGGTGGCACATGCCTCTAGTCCCAGCTACTCGGGAAGCTGAGGCAGGAGAATCACTTGAACCCGGGAGATGGAGGATGCAGTGAGCTGAGATTGAGCCACTGCACTCCAACCTGAGTGACAGAGTGAGACTCTGTCTCAAAAAAAAAAAAAAAAAACACCAGTCATGTTGGACCAAGAACCCACTCTGCTCCAGCATGACCTCAACTTCACTTTACTAATCATATCTACAATGACCCTATTTCCAAATAAGGTCACCTGCTCAGGTACTGGGGATTAGGACTTCAATATATCTTTTGGAGGGGTACACAATTCAGCCACTAACAGTCTCCAAACTATAATTTGTGATTTTGATGTTTATCAGAGTGAGGTCTGTTCTCTGTGTTCGTGTTGATCTATTCCCTTCTCTGCTGACACGTGGCTTCTTTTTACCCAGGTAGACCACGGCGGCTAAGGTCAGAGTCTGCCGCTGCTGTGGTGAAGCCTGCGACAGGAGGGAGCAATTAGAGAAAAGGCTTGTTTGTGAAATCTGAACTCTGTGTCCTCATTACTTTCTCCCTGACTTCCTGCTTCATCCCTGCTCTCTGCCCAGGCTCTCTGGTGGTCATTTACAGGAAAGCATGTGACCACATGTGGAAGTGTGGAAGTGTGATCCCTTTCTTGAACATTTGATTTTGCAAATGACACTTTTTACAAAAGCATCTGCAGAAATCTGGTTAACTCCTTTCTTGATGGTTACAACTGGAGAAAAAATAGAAACATGTACAGCAACCACCAACATTAACGGAGCCAGATTATTAAAACACTAAAATACCTGCTTCTGACACTTCAGCCAGCCACGACTCGTATATGTTTTATCGTACTAGCAAGAGACCACTGCACGGCTTGAAGTGTGACTCTGAGGTCACTAAACACAGGAAATCCTCCAATTGTTTTACAGCTACCACCGGGTATGTTTGTGGAGCCTGTATATTAGCAGGGGAAAAAAATCTGTTCTTTAAAATTAGCTGGTCAAAATTTTCTAATAATAGAATATATAAGATGAAATCCATGGAATATGCTATAAGGGCATTGCTATGATTTGGATATGGTTTGTCCCCACCAAAACTCATGTTGAAATTTGATCCCCAGTGTGGCAGCATTGGGAGATGAGGCCCGGTGGGAGGTGTTTGGGTCATGAGGTCATGGGTCATGAATGGCTTGGTGCTGTTTTTGCAGTACTGAGTGAGTTCTCACAGGAAGGAGAGAGAGTTGCTACAAAGTGAGGCTACTCCTCCCGTTTGGTTCTCTCTTCACCCTCTGACTTTCCACCATGCTTTGATGCAACTCAAAGTCTTCACCAGAAGCTGAGCAGATGCTGGTGCTATGTCTCTTGACTTTCCCAGCCCGTAAAACCATGAACTAAATAAACTTCTTTTCTTTATAAATTGCCCAGTCTCGGGTATTCTGTTAAAACAACACAAAATGGATTGAAACAGGCATCTACTATATATTGGGACTGGAACAAAAAACTTCTGGCTTTTTATTACAATAAATATGTTCCTTGAGCTGTTTGTTCCCACTCATCTCAGCCTTCCCTCTAGCCCATTACCATCAAAAGGAAAGCAGTAAGAATAAAACCCTCTAATACATGAACCACATTCTTTTGTGGAGTGCTGGCATTCTGGTAGGAGTGTTCCATAATAATAATTAGACCACAAGATAATGAAAACTGGTATATCTTGCACACTGGCAAATGTGAATGGACTCTGCCCTTAGCAGTGGGAGACAGGCATTAACCCTTTAGTGCCTGGATCTTGGAACAGGTCTCAGGAGTCCAGGGGAGGGATCACCATGGCCAGTGCAACCAGAAGGCTCTCTGGGACACAGGGTCATGGTTATTATGTACCAACAGATCAATTATATCAGTTTGAAGCAGGTAAAGACAGCATTGTCTTTATTTATACCCCAAAGTTCACCTTTAATGTTACAATGTTACAATCTAGAAACACAGTGTATTACAAAGGATGTGGGTAGAGATTTTCTTTGGGGTAAGATGTGAGTCCTCCAGCTTTTCCTTGCTACAGCTCCCCAAGGCCCTTTATGTCACTGAGCTGTGGCATAGTTTTACCTGGACCTCAGCCGTCTATGCGAGGAAGGTCCCACTGAGTCAGAGGAGTACCTGTGTCACAAGAAAGTCCCCCGACTCACAAAAGGTGGCATTTTCCCAGACATTTCCAACATAATTTGTAGAATTTTTATAGGAAGCAATACTTTTATAAGAAATAAGTATATTCAAAAACATTCAAATTATTATACATTCTACTTAATAGATAATGCTTGCTTGGAATTTAGCTTCAGGTGTCCCCCAGGACACCTGAAGTATGTGTAGGTGTAATGTCTCATTATACCCTGTGATGTAGCTGTCAGAGGTCAAAACAAAATAATGGTTTACTCCTATAGTGAGGAAGGAACAATAAGGAGATCCATAAACTGCTTTTGTTTAGCTTAGAGGAAGCAAACTGATAGCCACATGAAAAATCCATATTCTTGAATTAGTTGACAATTAAACTCAAATTTCACATTGAAATACAGTCTGAATTTCCAGATTTTCTTTAAAACTTTCATGATCTGGCCATCCTGCACCTGCCTTCCCACATTACAACAGTCAGAGGAGGAGGGGCTGGCCCAGAGGCCAACCCCCATGCACCACTATCTCCACCCATTTGACTCAGTTCTATTACCTGTCTGGCTCCTGTGGGCTTTGAGTTTTTGACCCCTGATTTTCATCTGTCCATTACCAAGGCCAAATTTTTTCTGCAAGGAAAGTATTTTGTATTGATTAAAAGTTTTCAGGACATTAACCCAAATTTCCTTTGGTCACTGCATGTGAAATTCAATACTCAAAGTATCCAAAAACATCTTCAATTGGAAATCAAGTCAGACACATTTACTTAAACAAGCAATTAGCTTTGGCAATAGGAGGCTGAAAAGAAATGAAGTTCATGAACATACTTGTTCCTCTCTAGATGATGCCATTAGTTAGTGTCCAAGTGTCGACACGTAGCACATATTGTGCCAATTCTGGTACTAAGGAGATTGGAAATGGGAATGTCTAATGTTTCAGAAAACTCAAAGGAGCAGAAGCGGGGTTGGCTGAGAAATGGTAAGTGAATTTACTAAATATCTCCTGCGCACACAGTATTCTACCAGGCAGGCTATAAATCAATATCTGGTACAGGCATACCTTAGAAATACTGCAGGTTTGGTTCCAGACAACCACAAGAAAGCAAATATCATAATAAAGCATGTCACATGGAATTTCTGGTTTCCTAGTGCACATAAAACTTATGTTTACACTATGTTGCAGTCTATTAAGTGTGTAATAGCATTATGTCTAAAAAAAGTGTACATAAATTGAAAATATTTCATTGTTATAAAATGCTAATGATCATCTGAGCCTTCGGCAAGTCATAAACTTCTTGCTGGTGGAGGGTCTTGCCCGAGTGTTGATGGCTTCTGACTGATCAGGGTGGTGGCTGCTGAAAGCTGGGGTGGCTATGACGATTTCTTAAAATAAGACCACAATAAAGTTTGCCACAATGATTGACTCGTTCTTTCAAGAAAGATGTCTCTGTAGCATGCAATACTGTTTTATAGCACTTTACCCTCAGTAGAACTTCTTTCAAATTTGGAGTCAATCCTCTCAAACCCTGTTGCTGCTTTATCAACTAAGTTTATGTCATATTCTAAATCCTTTGTTGTAATTTCAAAAGTATTCACAGCATCTTTACCAGGAGTAGATTCCCTCTCAAGAAATCACTTCCTTGTTCATCCATAAGGAGCAACTCTTCACCCATTCAAGTTTTATCATGAGATTGCAGCAATTCAGTCACATACTCAGGTGCCACTTCTAATTCTGGTTCTGTTGCTGTTTTCACCACATCTCCATTTCCTTCCTCCACTGAAGTCTTGAACCCTTCAAATTCATCCATGAAGGCTGGAATCAACTCCTTCCAGACTCTTGTAAATGTTAATATTTTGACCTCCTCCCATGAATCCCATTAATGGCATCTAGAATGGCAAGTCCTTTCTAAAAGGTTTTCAACTGATTTTGCCCAAATCCATCAGAAGACTATCTATGGCAGCTATCACCTTACAAAATGTATTTCTTAAATAATAAGATTTGAAAGTCTAAATTACTCCTTGATCCATGGGCTGCAGAATGCATGTTGTATTGGCAGGCATGAAAACAACATGAATCTCCTTGTACATTTCCATCAAAGACCTTGGGTGACCATGTATATTGTCAGTGAGCAGTAATATTTTGAAAGGGATCTTTTTTCTGAGCCGTAGGAGATCTCAATAGTGGGACCTGTTAACCACGATGTAAACAGATGTGCTGTCATCCAGGCTTTGTTCTTCCATTAATATAGCACAGACAGAGTAGATTTAGCATAATTCTTAAAAGCCTTAGGATGTGCGGAATGGTAAATGAGCATTGGCTTCAACTTAGTCACCACTGGCATTAGTCCCTAACTAGAGACCCAGTGTGTCCTTTGAAGCCAGAAATTGACTTTTCCTCTCTAGCTATGAAAGTCCTACTTGGCATCTTCTTCCACTTCAAGGCTGTTTCATCTACATTGAAAATCTGTTATTTAGTGTAACCATTTTCATCATTGATCTTAGGCAGATCTTTTGTATAACCTGCCGCAGCTTCTATGCAAGAACTTGCTGCTGCTTCATCTTGCACTTCTTTTTTTAGATGGAGTCTCACTCTGTTGCCCAGGCTGGAGTGCAGTTGCCTGATCTCGGCTCACTGCAAAAAAACAAGGCCTGGATAACAGCACATCTGTTTACATTATGGTTATCAGGACCCACTATTGAGACCTACTACTGCTCAGAAAAAAAGATTCCTTTCAAAATATTACCGCTCACTGACAATATACATGGTCACCCAAGGTCTCTGATGGAAATGTACAAGGATATTAATGTTGTTTTCAACTAGAATGTTGTTTCAATTGCACTAGAGTGCAGTTGCATGATCTTGGCTCCAGGGTTCAAGCGATTCTCCTGCCTCAGCCTCCTGAGTAGCTGGGATCACATGTGTGCACCATCATGCCTGGCTAATTTTTGTGTTTTTAGTAGAGACAGGGTTTTGCCATGTTGGCCAGGCTGGTTTCGAACTCCTGACCTCATGTAGTCCTCCTGCCTTGGCCTCCCAAAGTGCTGGGATTACAGGCATGAGCCACCACACCTGGCCAACTTGCACTTTTTTATTATGAAAACGGCTTCTTTCCTTAAACCTCATGAACCAACCTCTGCTAGCTTCAGACTTTTCATCTGAAGCTTCCTCACCTCTCGCAGACTTCACAGAATTGAAGAGAGTTAAGGTATTGCTCTGGATTAGGCTTTGGTTTAAAGGAAAGTTGTGGTTGGTTTGATCTTCTATCCAGACCAATATAACTTTCTCCATATCAGCAATAAGGCTGATTTGCTTTCTTATCATTCATGTGTTCACTAGAGAAGCACTTTTCATTTCCTTCAAGAACTTTTCTTGTGCTTTCACAACATAGCCAACTGTTTGGCACAAGAGGCCTAGCTTTCAGCCTGTCTCAGCTTCCGATATGCCTTCCTTACTAAGTTTAACCATTTCTAGCTTTCGATTTCCAATAAGAGATATGTGACTCTTTCTTTCACTTGAACACTTAGAGGCCATTGGAGGGTTATTAATTAGACTAATTTCAATATTGTTGTGTCTCAGGGACTAGGAAGGCCCAAGGAGAGAGAGTGAGATAGAGGAATAGCCGATTGGTGGAGCAGTCAGAAAACACACATTTAACAATTAAGTTCACCATCTCATATGAGCACAGTTCATGGTACCCCAAAACAATTACAATAATAATCAAAAATCACTGATCCCAGATGACTATAACAGATAATATTAATAGTAAAGTTTGTAATGTTACAAGAATTACCAAAATATGACACAGAAACACAAAGTGAGCACACGCTGTTGGGAAAATGATGCTGACAGACTTGTTTGACACAGTTGTTGCCACAAACCTTCAATTTGTAAAACATGCAATATCTGCAAAGTGCGAGAAAGCAGTATGATAAAACAAGGTATATCTGGGCCGGGTGCAGTGGCTCACACCTGTAATCCCAGCACTTTGGGAGGCTGAGGTGGGCAGAGCACGAGGTCAGGAGATCGAGACCATCCTGGCTAACACGGTGAAACCCCATCTCTACTAAAAATACAAAAAATTAGCCAGGCGTGGTGGCGGGTGCCTGTAGTCCCAGCTACTCGGGAGGCTGAGGCCAGAGAATGGCGTGAACCCGGGAGGCGGAGCTTCCAGTGAGCCGAGATCATGCCACTGCACTCCAGCCTGGGCAACAGAGCGAGACTCCGTCTCAAAAAACAAAACAAGGTATGTCTGTATTTGAGGTATAGGCATAACTTAAATATTTTATAAATAAGAAAAACAAATTCATTGTGCTACATAAAGAGTGTTTTAGGGAAGATTTAGAGACTGTCAAATATATGCACATATTTCTGCAAAAATAATCAAAACTATCTAGTCATTTTCACTTCTCTGCATGGAAACAACAGCCGGTGTTGCCTGTATAGTTTTCTCTGTGAAACTTGATTTGGGTTTTCCAAGAGGAAAAAGATGATTCCATTAAATTGCCATATAGATTTTACCATTGTCTACAGTGAAGGGGAAGGCAGACTTTGCAATAATTGCTCAACGATCTCTCAGCTCCCTCCTTCCTTTCTCTAAATCCCTATACTGTCTCTATCCTGGAACAAAGACATTGTCTCCAAATCCAAGATCCAATACACGTCCTTCCCTTGGACTGTTGTAAACCATGAACTGGAGCTTCAGCTTACAAAAGTACTTAATCTTCAAATATAAGGTTTGAAAGAAAGAAACATTTATAAACAAACACTAATTTTTGAACATTTGTAGATGTTTATTTCACAGTTAAACACATAGTCTTGACAAAACAGTCTTGCTGAACCCGAAGGAATAAAACGGAAAAAAAAAAATAGAATAAAATGGGGAAAAAAAATTTTTTTTTTTTACTCAATTGCTTTGTAATAGATTGGAGAGGGATGAGTTGGTGTACATTTAACTTGTTAAGTAAACATGTTTTAAGTACTTACTCTATGCCTATGTGCTCTAGGGAATGTGCTAAATACTGGGGATATAAAAATTTAGCACCCGACTTAAAGAAATTTAGTATTACAGGAGAATAGAACACGATAAATGTTACAATAATAGTATATGTGAAATGCCTTGGGAATAATTCAGAAAGAAGCATAGTGGATGTATCAGCCATTGCTGCATAAGATAGCACCCCCAAACTTGGACTCAAAGCATCAACCACTTACTATTTCTCACGGGTCTAAGGGTCAGCTGAATGATTCTGCTAATTACAGCTTGGCTCAATTATATATGCAGTCAGGTGGTGAATGGCCAGCCCAGAATGGCTTTGGCTACATACGTCACCTGGACTGAGCTGTTCTGTGTCTCATTTTCCAGCAGAATTCCCCCAGATGTGTCCTCAGAGAAAATTCAGAGGATCAAGAAGGGAGGGGGGGATGGAAACAGAAATTGACATGTGCTTTTTTTTTTTTTTTTTCAGGCCTCTGCTTGCTTCAATTTTGTTACTATCCCATTAGTCAAAGCAAATCAAAGACTAAGCTTGATGTCAATTTCTGAAGGTGCCATCAAGTAACAGTACATAGGTGCCAAAGGCCATGGGAGACCACATCTTGCATCAGCGTGACCTGGATGTGAGACATGGACTCAAAGGACATCATTTTGGAACTTTAAGGTTTAATGGCTGCCTTATTGAATTTTGGACTTGCATGGGTCCTGTAGCCCCTTTGTTTTGGCCAATTTCTCCAATTTGGAATGGGTGTATTTACTCAATGCCTGTACCCTCATGTGTCTAGGAAGTAACTAACTTGCTTTTGATTTTACAGGCTCATAGGCAGAAGAAACTTGCCTTGTCTCCGATGAGACTTTGGACTTGGACTTTTTGGTTAATACTGAAATGAGTTAAGGCTTTGGAGGACTATTGGAAAGGCATGATTGTGTTTTGATATATGAGGATATGAGATCTGGGAGAAGCCAGGGGCAGAATGATATGGTTGTGCTGTGTCCCCACCCAAAATCTCATCTTGAATCATAATCCCCATAACCCCCATGTATTGAGGGTGGGACCAGGTGGAGGTAACTGGATCACAAGGGCAGTTTCTCCCATGCTGTTCTCATAATAGTGAGTGAGTCTCATGAGATCTCATGGTTTTATAGGCATCTGGCATTTCCCCTGCTTACAATCATTCTCTCTCCTGCCACCCTGTGAAGAAGTGCCTTCTGCCATGATTGTAAGTTTTCTGGGACCTCCCCAGCCATGCAGAACTGTGAGTCAGTTAAGCCTCTTTTCTTTATAAATTACCCAGTCTCAGATATTTCTTAATAGCAGCATGAAAATGGATTTATACAATAGGACATAGACACAAAGAGTCCATTTAATTGGGGTCATTGATGCAATAACTGTACCACAATGGAGAAAGAAGAAAGGATATGTTGGGCTGTCTTCATAGGATGAATAAATTTTTACATGGTACAGACAGGGAAAGGATACTCCAGGTATAAGAGGAACAGAAATACAGTTTCTCTGTTTTAAAGAATAGATTGGAAGGAAGTGAAATACTGGAAGCTGAGAGAGCAGCTAGGAACTGTTGCAGTTGTGTAAGTAAGAAGAAACGAAAACCTGAACCAACATGACTGAAGCAGGAAAGAAAAGAAGAGGAGAAACTGAGAGGCATCATGACAGCAGAATCCATAAGAATGAATTTATCATAGTGGGGAAGAAAGAAGAATCAAATATGACCCAAAGTAGATATGTTGAGTGTCTGAGTTGAAGACAATGCTAGTAACCAGGCCATAAAAGAGAAGCAAGTTTGAAGGCAAAGAGAAAGAATGGTTCTGTTTTTGACATCTGTGTTTAGAGATAACTGTGATAGTAGTGAGGTCTAGTAGTCATAAAGAAGAAAATGTTCAAAGATTAACGAACACTGTTGACAGCAGTTGTAGTAAATTGCAAAGAGATATGAATATGGAGCTAGAACTGCTGGAGTCCCAGCTCTTCCCCTTATTAGCTGTGTGAAAATATGAGGACGAAGCAGAGAAGAAAATATGGCAACACAGGGGGTTACAAATTGTTCATTTACTGAAGGTTTCGAATTCTTGTGTTTGCTTTTACTTTAATGCTGCCCCTTCCCTCAGCCCGCACCACCTTGTTCATTTTATAAAAACCAGTTGTGCCTACAAAATTCTAGCATGGTGGGGGAGGGAAAAGATCTGTGTATCCAGAGAAACATGCATTTCACCTACAGGTTTCTTAAACCATTTGGTATTTTTTTTATATCAACAAATGCTGTTCAGATAAGCTACTGCTATAATTTTTCCCTTAAACCTTTAAGTTACTATAATTTAAAAAATAACCTTAGTTCTTTTGCATTTATATTAAGACTTATTTTTGCATTATTATTTCATCAGGAAAAACTTGACTCAAATAACTTTTAGATATGATTTCCAAAAGGTGACTGATTTGGTAAATGTGATTTTATTGGATTTGTATGCTAAAAAGTGTTCCAGAGAAAGACATGGACAATTTCATATTGAAAGTGTATGGAAAAGCAGAGGGTCAGTGTACCAAACATTGCCTCCACGAACCACCTTCAGTAATGTCCCTACTATAGAAATTTAGGTTAAGTCTATGGGGGACAGGGTGCAAAATTACTAAGGAGTCTTTGGGGTAACCAAGTCAAGGCAGGCCAGTCATATTCCTGAACAGGACTAAAATTGAGTTAGGTTTGAGAGAGCAGAGAGATGTAGATTGAATGAGAGAGAGAAAGCAATGCAGAAGAAGGACTGGCAAAGGAGATGGTTCATTATGATGATCAGCAGGTGTTTGCAACTGGAACCAAGAGTGGATGGAGGGCAAAATCCTGAGACCATCCATAGCTCCCTGGACTAACCTTTGAAGATCACACTCATTAGCTCGGCCTTTACAGCCTTCCTGGGCTTGTCCCTTACCTCTCCAAGCTTCTCCTCCTTACTCCAGCCAGATAGGACTACCTATTATCCTACGAGCCCACTACACCTCAGAACTAGAGTTGCCATCAGCCAAAATGTAGGGGGCAGACAATGGAGAATTCAGTCCTCATCACTGGTTGTGCAGTAGTGTCTCCTGTGATGTTTTGTCAGCCTTGTTGTTTGTTTTCAATGTATCTGTCCTCCTGCCCAAAAGAGAGAAGACAGATATATTAAATTCCTTGGCATCAGACTCTAAGTCTAATGCAAGTTTGTGGAGACAATAATGAAGAAAATCAACATTTGTTTTGAGGATAATTTTAGTAAGTCCAATAATGATTGACACCCCCCTACAGAAACGTGACACACAGGTCACAGAAAGTGTCACATGTTTCTCCTGCAGGTGGCAGATTAATGACTTTTTGAAAGCTGCCATCTTCAAGACGCTGCAAAAAGTATCCTAGCCAGACATCACAAAAGAATAAAAGTCAATGATCCTCTCCCAATCTTTTAGCATCAGCAGAGGCATGCTTGGGCTGTGACTCAGTTATATTTGCTGTGAGGCTGTGTTCTAAAGAAGGAACATTAGGCTCCTGTTCTCTTTTTTAAAGGTATTAACATGAGAACGGCCCTGTAAGCAGGACAAAACAACAGACCAAATTTGGTTTCCAAATAGTCTGCATGTAGGTACTAGCCAGCTTTTTATAGGAATTGCTCAGAAGACAATCTGCAAAGATGAATGCAAGGGAAGCCCTTTCCACTGAAAGAAAGGTGTTGCTGAGTGTCCTGAAGACCACCCTCAGGTTCAAGGAATTGCTAGAAGGACTCACAGAATTCAGAAAAGCTATTATCCTCACTGTTACAGTTGATTACAGCAAAAGGATACAGATTATAGGGCAGAGTCCAGGGGAGACCAGGCACAAGCTTCCAGTGGTCCTCTCCCAGTGGAGTTGTATGGATAGCACTTAATTCTCCCAGTAATAATGTGTGACAATGTGTATACAGAGTATTGCCACGCAGAGAAGCTCATCAAGACTTAGTGTCAGAGTTTTACTGGGGGTCAGTCATGTAGACATGGAGCACCAGTGTGGCTGAGCTTAGTTACTCAACCTCCAGCACCTCTAGAGGTTAAACTGATACTGTACAGCCCAAGGCCCCCATCATAAATCACATTGTGAATATAAACCATCTGGTATGGTTCAAGGCCACAGGTGAACAAAGATATTCATGTCAAGCAGGATATTTCAAGGGCTTAGAGTTTATCTCCCAAGAGCTGGACAAGGGCAGAGCCTTTTTTGAAATGTGCAGGGTTTGGACATCCCAGTCCTGCTGAGTCAAACCTTTACTGCACAGAAGGGAGCAACGTGGGGTATACCTTCAGGACCATTCACTGGACAATTCTGCTTTTCTTTCCACAAAGGGAAGGGAGCTCAGCTCTGGGGACTCTCACATTCCTTACTCTTATAGTGAAAGTCAAAAGTGAAATCCAATCATACATAGCTTTGAGTTTCCCATTTTATGTGCAAATAAAGCACAATATTTACAATCTCACATATTATAATAGAATCTAATATATACACTAGAAAACAAGAATGAAAACCCGTCTTTCAGTATTTTCTATGCTAATTAACCTTCTACTAAACATTTTGAAAAGTTAAGAAATAATCTTTAGCCTTGAAATACTCTTTAGCTTTTGTATTTTCCTTCCTCCTTCTGTGCACTTGGCTATCAAATACTTGTTAAAATATATAGGAATATTGTGTTGAACTTTTGTGAGTAATCAAATGCAAGCCAAAACATCTTAATTCTCCCAAAAAGAGACTCATATAATATATACATAAGAATCCTGTCCCTCAGATTACACTCTGTGAAATCTCTGTTATTTTTTGACACAAAACTCTAAAGACCTTTATCTGTCTTTTTGCCTGCCTACTTTAAAATAGTTGCAAATTAGATCTGTGCTCTTTGATTCAGGTTGATTTTTGGGCATCTGTATTTAATTCTTTCACTAAAGGGCAAAGGCAGCTTCTAGATATGCTAAGAATCCTTTCTTTTTATGGGTGGAGAGAAAAACAGTCTGCAACACTAGAAGAACTAAATAAGGATGGGAGGTTTGCATGGAACCTGGACTCTCCCACACTGTACCCAAGCCCATGCCAAATTTGTACAGGTGTGCACCACATGAACAGATGAGCAAGTGTGATGAGAAGAGCTCTCAGGATCTGACTGAGCCCATAATGATGCATTTCTCCCAAGGTGGACCTAAGCATCTGTTATGTACTTGAAGTATTTGTTTACTTGATAGCAAAAGGGTACTTAAACTGCTAAGCTTATACCCTATTAGGGATTATGGGGATTTTTGTTGTTGTTGCAGTTGTTGTCTTTTTCTTAAAGAAAAAGGACACAATGAGATGACACATCAGGGGTGTCAATGTAAAGGGAGTACTGAGCCCACTAGAAGGAGCACAGGATTTGTGGTGTTCTAACACTCAGAATATTACGGTGATTATATCACCACAATTTTGTTCTGGGAACACCTCGTTACTTGGGAGGAATGTTAAAATTGTAAAGGTTATTTAATGTGGCTTTTATAATAAGATTTTTGAAGAGAAAAAATGTTTATTTGGAGAATAAGTATATGAAGGTTGTTCCCCACTCCAGATCCTGGATATTCTTAAAGGTATTTCCTCAGTAATCCTCATGCTATAGATTTTTTGCTCTCCTACCAACTTTGCAGGCTCCTGAATCTGATTTTGTCCCATCTAATTTTCCACTCATTTGACAAATGGCTTTTAGTGCCAGACATTCAATTAATCCCTGCCCCCATGGAGCTTTAATTCAGATAGGCAAAACAGACCATTAATATAATATATATACAAATTCAGTATGTTAGAATGAGATGAGTGTTATAGAGAAAACTAAAACAAGATGAAGGCACTGAGAAAGTGCCAAGGGATTGAACCAAAACTTTTCTTTCTCGTGTTCCTCCTTTGTACTTCCCAGCTATTCTCATGTGCTGATTCAGTTTGATTTGTTGCCGGGATAAAGTACATCCTACCTCTTTCTCCCTTGCCTTCTTACTGTGTGTACAATGTGCCCATAATAAATAATATTTGAATAAAGTTTTCATACCTATTTTGCTTTTAATCCCCAAAACAACATATTTGAAGAAAAACCTCAGAAAAGTGAATGACTTGGTTAAAGTCAAATAGATACTAAATAAGAAAACAGGATAGCATCCACTACTTCTTTTTTAAAAAAAAACTTAATGAAAACTGTTCATCAAATATAACTTTATTGCTCTGAAAAATGAATCAGGATATTACAATATAAATAATATAAGCTGACTACCCCTATTTTTTCCTTTTCAAAAAGGAAAGACATGTCTATAGGATTTTCAATTTTTTGAAAAAAAAATGAGAAATTGTCTGTCACTCTTACTGAGGCAGAAATAGTTTGGGCTTAATATTACAACTAGAATCCCTTACTATACTTACCCCGGTGTGATTATTATGCATTGTATATCTGTAGCAAAATATCTCATGTACCCTATAAATGTATACACTACTATGTACCCATAATAATGTTTTTAAAAACTACAAAAAAAAAAAAAAAAAGAAAACAGGACTCTTGCACCCAGGTTCTCTGAAACTAACTTGCATGGACATATTTACACATTGTCACTCCCATTGTTTGACACCCAAAAGAAAAACTAAATATGAATATGAATAACGGGCCAGGTAAAGGAGAGAAATGGTTCAGGCCAAATGGCAAAAGACTCATTCCTGAGGGCAACAGGTAAATTGTTTTGGTGCACACAATGGGCACTCAAGCAATTATTCAACAAATGCCTTTTGAGTGTCTATTATGTGCTAGACACTGTGCTAGGTGCTAAGAGTCATCCTCTACTTTGCCTGCAAATCAGATATATTAGAGTCAAATCAATACACAGTGGCAGGCTGAGGAATAGTGTTTTAAGTTGAGAAGAGGATATCATATTAATAATTGTCTCTTGAGTCTATTAACTTTAACAGGGGTCTAGAAAAACGTTACTAATACATGGAAAGGAAGAAGAAATAAAGGACATAGGGAGTGTAAATAAACTAAATTTAGAACCAAGGGCAGAGTTAAGTGTTAAATTAGAGAAAGTGCTCACCATTACCTTAATAGTAAGTTCAGTAGGGTTCAGTAAGGCAATAGCACTGAAAATTCCTCCTAAAAAACCTTAAAGAGGCATGTCATGGGAAGAAGTTATGGTGTAATGGATCAAGCAAGACTTAATAGTTTCCATTCCTGACTCTGTCACTTAGCAGTTTTGTGACCTTTATCTGTAAAAGGAGGTTAATAATCCTTTTCCAGAGGGATTGGGATTGCATAAGGTCACACATGAGAATGTGGTACCAAGTGGGTGTTTTTGTCAGGGCTCCTGAAACTGCAGGGAGAAGAAATGTATCTCAAAAGGGTATTTACTGGCTTGTGAAGAAAAAAAAAAATGCAGGGCCAGTGCTTTAGATATGTCTAATGACAAAAACTCAGCTGAGGTCACCAGGATGCCAGCTCTCTCTGTCGCTCAGTTGTGCTCTCATTCGTGTTAACCTCATCCTCAGCTGGTGCTTTTCTTGACAGAACAAAATGGAGTTTTACAGCTCCAGACTCAAGTCTTCACAGTTACAGAGCTCTTCGATATAATTCTACCCAAATCCCTAAATGAGCCTTCCTTGGCCTAGATTGGATCACAGGATTACCTCTGAACCAGTAGGTGTGGACAAGGAAATTAAGTGCTCTGATTATCCTGTTTTGGGTCATAAGACTTTCTTTGGAGCCAAAGATAAAGTCATCCTCAATCAATCTACACATATTGAAGGACAGAAGGGTGATGTCCCAGAGGAAACCCAGAAAGCTGTTGTGAGATGCAAGAAGATATAGTGGCAAACTAAAGCCACCAATATCGGGGTTCAATTAATATGTGTTACATCTCAATCTGTTGGATTTGGGCATTATGTCTCTGAATAGATCAAAAATTAAATATAGAACTTAGCTCCTGTACTAAGCATATTTTCTAAATAATCTTTCTTCTGAAGAAAATGTAATAATAACCGTACTTGCTTCCTCTGAGCAAAGAGAGCCCATTCAAATAGCCTTGTGCTTGAGAAAAAAAAAATTCATTGCTATGAAAAATGCATTTCTGCTTGGCTTATGAGCTAGAAAGAGGATATTGGAATATTAATATTTAGTGCATGTATCTAGAGATGACCCTGTGTGCATAAATATGCTTTAGCATCTGCATTTATACGTACATCAAGGGAAAAAATTAAATTATGATATACTGCTGTGAAGAGATGAAATGAAACATGAGATACATATTAAACTTAAAGAACAGAAATGAACCCACAAGACAAGAAAGTTTGGAATCTTACATACTCTGCTTTCCTGTCTGTTTCTATTGACTAGTTGTAAACTTGATGATATATAAAATTAATAGCTTTTTACCTTTAGCTTGGCCCAAAGTACTTGATAAAGCCAAGTCTCTCCCATCTTAACGATAATATTCTCCTTTTCCTAGCACCTGATTCCTCTGTTTCATCACAGCCACAATTCTAGAAAGGGAAGTGTATGCTAGCTGTTTCCACTTTCTCACCACCAGCCCCCATTCACACTTGAGTCCATTGCTATAATTTGCTTTGTCTCCACAAAAACCCATGTTGAAATTTGATCCCCAATGCGGCAGTGTTGAAAGGTGAGGTCTAGTAAGAGATGTTTGGGTCATGGAAGCGGATCCCTCATGAATAGATTAATGCTATCCCACCAGGGTGAGTGAATTCTCCCTCTGGTTCTAGTGGGAATAGATTAGTTTCTGAGAGAGCATGTTGTTAAAAGAGTCTAGCTTCCTTGGATTCACTCTCTTGCTCCTTTTCTTGCCCTGTGATCTCTTTGCACATGTCAGCTCTCCTTTCTCTTTCTGCCATGAGTGGAAACAATCTAAGGCCTTCACCAGATGCAGCTGCCCAATCCTGGACTTTCCAACCACCAGTATTGTGAGCCAAATAAACCTCTTTTCTTTGTAAATTACTCAGTATCAGATATTCAGCACAAAACAGCAACACAAAACAAACTAAGATGCTCGTGAACACCTAATTTCTGTCTCTACCACAAGGACACTGCCCGCACTAGTGAGCTTTTCCCAAGTTTAACAGATCCTTCCAATCCTGACTCTATTTGTCTGTGACATTCTCTACTTCTGGAAACTCTCCTTACTGAAGTTCCACTTCCCCAGTCCCTCCCAGGTTTCCCTCAACTCTCTTGGGTGCTCCATTTTCACCTCCTTCACAGACTGTTCTTCTTCCTCTTCCTCTATCAATGTGATTTCTCTAGGTTGGTTCTTAGTCTACATATTATCCCCTAATCCCATGCCTTCACTTACCCCTTACATGTTGATGGAACCCAAATTTTTATCACAAGCTGAGACCTCTCACCACTGACTCTCCCACATTTGCATGGACCATAAAGAAAGGGAAAAGGATCAGGAAGAGAGTTCTGGAAAATAGCAATATATAAAAGCCACGTGGAGAAAGAACCCTGAGTGAGGTTAGCATTGTATAATGAAAACCAGGAGAGAGTGGCGTGCTGACAGCCAGAGCAAGAGAGACTTTTTGAAAGAAAAGAAGGCACGTAAGGGATTGTGTACTACAACAAAATCAAGTGAAATAAGGACTGAATACTGTCCCTTTAAATCAACAGCTAGAAGCTCCTTAGTGGCCTTGACAAGAGATATTTCAGTGGTTAAGACAGAAACTAGACCATGGTAGATGAAGGAATAAATACAAAGTAGGAAAATTAATACAGAGAACATGAGCCATTTTTCCAGGAACTTGACTGAAGGTGGAACATAGTTAAATGGAGATGAGGAGTGCCAGGGTGTTTGCTGATTTGGTTGGTTGAGTGGGTGGTGGTTTTTAAGTTGGGGAAAAGTTGAGGCTGTTTGTTAAAGGGGAAAAAACACCATGAAATTAGAAACTGTAAATCCAGGAACTAGAGAGGGAGGAGGGGATATTAATGGTGAGTAAATATCCCACTACTGCCACTGTGTTCTATTAGAAACACAGCATTGGATGAGCTTCACCTGTTTCTCATGGCGTCAATCATTTTTAATCAGGCACAGGTTAAAACCTCATCCTCAGCCTTGCATTCAATGTTCTCCTTAAGGTCTGATTTCATCCCTCCCACAATGCATGCTGCAAGTCCTACTCAAAATGATGCTGGGGGTCTTTCTTTACCTCATTATCTGCTCTCTGCATGTTTAAACTCTACTTTTTAAGACATAGTCCAGGTTCTATTTCCTCTTGGTTTTCCCAACTACATCCTTGGTTCTCAGCAAATACTCTAGTTACAGAACCTCTGTAGCTTTTTTTTTTTTTTTTTTTTTTTTTTTTTGTGATGGAGTCTTGCTCCATCACCCAGGCTGGAGTGCAATGGCGCGATCTCAGTTTACTTCAACCTCCGCCTCCTGGGCTCAAGTGATTCTCCTGCCTCAGCCTCCCAAGTAGCTGGGACTACAGGTGCGTGCCACCATGCCCAGCTAATTTTTTTTTTTTGGACTTTTAGTAGATACGGGGTTTCACCATGTTAGCCAGGATGGTCTCCATCTCCTGACCTCGTGTTCCATCCACCTCGGCCTCCCAAAGTCCTGGGATTACAGGTGTGAGCCACTGCACCCAGCCATTCTGTAACATTTTTATGGTTATTAATTTTTCCTGACTCGTGTAATTATTTATCTAATCAGGTACATATTCTTGCTCCCTAAATCAGCCATAAGCCCACAAAGGGCTTTACCCTCCAACATCTAGTAGAATCTCTAGCTTAAATTGTGGGGCTCTTGTACAAGGGCCAACTGCAAGAGAATGGTCTTGTAAGCAGTAGCAAAAGCTGAAATTGACTCTTGTCACTGGCACCCTTGTGAGAGTAATTGACTGGTAGGGTAGGGAGCAGCAGGAACCAACTAAGACATAAGATGCAGAAGATACAATCCTAACAGAGTCCAAGTTAGTCAATAAATATTTATTGAGCAACTACTATGTACAGAGCGCAGCCCCAGACACGAAACATACGACAGTGAACAAAGTAGACGAGGTCCCTGCCCTCATGGAGCTTACAGTCTAGAAAAGCAGATAGACATTAAACACACAATTTCAAATGTGACAAATGAAAGAAAAAGGAAAAAGTACTTTAAAAGAGTATTGTATCCTGTATATTCCTGGTGGCTTGAGCACAACTCAGTACATAATAGGTACTGAGGTGGGAAAACAGACATAATTCCTGCCTCAAGAAGCCTATGGTCTAATAGTGGTATTTATTTTCTGTTTATTGCAATTGAGATATCTAAAATAAGATTTTAGATTGTAATGAAAACAAAGGGAAGCTTTTGAGCTAGATGACTTCTACAATGTCTTCATGCTTCTCTAAAATCCAAGACCTCACACATTATATGTGCACAGACGTTTGTTGGATTGAACTGCCTACATTAAGGTGAGTTTTTTCAGAGTCATAAACAAAGTAGATTAATTGGAGCCACTCACTAATTTCAAAATTTCCTGTTTGCAAAGCAAAGGGATATACTTCTCTCATTTCTAAAAAAAAAGACCAGAATTTGGGATGCTTACTGAGAAAGGAAAGGAAGATGAGGGAGAGAGAGACCTTCAATTGAGCAGCTGTTGGTAAACAGTCAACTTGCCATATCAACATAAGAAACTGCATCATGTGTCACACTGTCATTTTAATGCAGTAATACAACCACAAGATTACAAAGTTAAATTTATGTAAATTATGTTTTGGAAATTACTGGAGCAGACTGTGGGGGCTGTTTGTACTCAATCTGCTAATGAAAGGGCCCATTTCACCAACAGAAAATCAAAAGAAGAAAATATTTTGCTGCATTTCCTTTGGTCTATTTTAAAGATATTAAGAATTTTCTCCCCAAAGGCTTTAATGTGGAAGAGATGGGGAGCAGAGAGAAGTCTGTGTTCATCTATTGTTAAAGAGGCTGCCTTGGGAGCTGGGGAATGCTCCCTTTGGTTTATCGTCTATTCAGCAAGGCTGGTGGTATTTTTGCTGCCAACTGATTAATCTATCAAATCCCCAATGTTTCAAGGAACCATACACTACTCAGGCAATGCTTATGAGAATGATGTTCCTGCATTATGAATCTAACATTCATTTTCGTAGATGGCAGCATGACTAATGATGATGCCTCATATTTCTATAACAATTTACAGTTTCCAGACCACTTTCACATTCATCATCTTATTTGATTCTCGTGACAATCTTGGGAGATCTGGAGGACAGGAATTATTGTCCTTATATTTCAAATAAGGAAGAGGAATTCAAGGCTCAGAAGGGATGTCACTTCCCCAACCTAGTAAAAGGCAAACCCATGACTCTAATATAGACCTTCTGATATTGGTTTCAGTGTTCTTTCCGCAGATAATTTCCCAAAATTTGTTCTGAAGAACAATGGTCTTGAGAATTATGCCATGAAACCAAAATCATTTTACATTATGTATCTCTTGTATCAGTTGTGTCTCAGTGTAGGAGACAGAAACCTTTCTAAGTGCTTCAAGCAGAAAAGGAATTTGACATGAGAAATTTGGTGATTACAAAATCGTTGGAAGGGCCAGAGGAACAGAAGTCAGGGGTTGCCCCAGTCTATTTATCTCACGGGCCCATCATTATACTGTCACATGACAAAGCCAAAACTGCCTATAAACAACGACTTCACTTACCAGCATCAACAACAGTAGGAAAATTGCCTGCATCTCCCTTTCACTTTGCAAATTTTGTGAAAATGCATGTAATCAGCTGACCAGAATTCTCATCCAGAAGCCTAGTTGCAAGGGAGTCTGGGAAATGTAGTTTGTAGATGGAATGGGCTTGGGAGTGCCAATCACAGTCTTTTAATCATACCCCTTTTAAAAATGCATGGTGTTCATTAACATTTTAAGCCTACAAAAAAAATCCTGCAGTAATAGAAACTATTCAACTTTAACCTTGCTAAGTTCAGCTTTTCACAAAATTGTTTGACCATGGAACTCTGTCTGGCAGCCCCTCATTAAGCAGAACACACTCAGGGAAAAGCTGCACTGCAGCAAGCTGGACATAGCCACAATATAGTACACACACATATGCCAATATGTCCATCAGACAACTAACCAATATAAAATCAGACAGCATCTGCTGCAGGCCTATGGTAGAACGGGGACAGCTCCATGGACCAATTCCACACCACGTAACAAACGTGTGAGGCAAAATCCTTTTCTCTGGGGTGATTGCGTAAGAAAACCACCTACAGGCATAGGCCCCAGAAATTTAAGATGCCAGAATGAATTCTAAGCAGCAAATGGGTTTGGTCTAGTAACTGCTGTAGAATAGAAATCATCATCCATCATTGAAGATCAACCAGCCAGCCATTCAAGTTTTTGGAAGCAACTGAGTATTGTTGGATGAGTCAAGCACTCTGCTACAGCACCCACCACTCACTACTGTCTCATATCTATCCAAATCACAAAATTATGTTTCTTCCTCATGCCTGTGGGCATTTGAGTTTGACACACACAGGTAGACACATACTGTTAGAGAAGTCTTTGTGGAAAATGTGGGAGTTGAATTGAGCCTTAAAGGCTGAGTGGGGCAGCATCTGCAGCAGTATTTCTCCTGGTATTCAAGAGAATATTCCTGTTATCTATGTTAGTAGGCATGGTGTGGTTAAAGATTAAGCCCTAAATCAGCTACCTAGGCCTCGCTGAGTGCTCTAGCAACATTTCTCTTTGTAGTGGAGAAGTTTTAATGAGAAAGGAAGCCTTTTGAAGGGAATATTGAGTAATTAGGAGACTATGTGAGGCTGGTCTCAACTGTGATTCCGGGGAGAAAGTGCATCTTTTCCTAAAGCAAAGAGAGTGCAGAAGGAAGAACCACCCAACATAACTCTTTTAGTCTACAAGAGAGAAAGAACACATGATATATAATGGTTATTCCACCTCATCATTATAGTGGATTATATATATTCCTTCCTTCCTTCCTTCCATCCATTTTCCAATATATTCCATCTCATCATTTATCCACCATGGATAAAGCAATCTATCCTGCATTCAGACTTAGCTTTTAATCAGCTTAAGTAAAATACTTAAAATATTATTCCCCATGCACCCAAATTTGGAAATTGTACCCTATAACAATTTGGGATTTTTCTTTCTCTGTGTTTTCTTACACTGAGGAAACCCTACACTTATAGTCTACATTTTTAAAAAACAAAAATGCTTTCAAAAAGAAATGCATTTTCAGGGGAAGTTTTAAAAATCCTAAAGAATATTGGCTGGGCACAATGGCTCACACCTGTAATCCCAGCACTTTGGGAGGCTGAGGCAGGCAGATCACAAGGTTGGGAGATAGAGACCATCCTGGCCAATATAGTGAAACTCCGTCTCTACTAAAAGTACAAAAAAAAAAAAAATTAGCCAGGCATGGTGGCATGCACCTGTAGTTCCAGCTACTCAGGAGGCTGAGGCAGGAGAATCTCTTGAACCAGGGAGTCGGAGGTTGCAGTGAGCCAAGATCACGCCACTGCACTCCAGCCTGGTGACAGAGAGAGTCTGTCAAAAAAAAAAAAAAAAATCCTAAAGAGTATTAATTAGGAAACATAAAAATTAAATTTTTTTTAAAGACAGAAGCATTATTACCCAACGCCCTAAGAACTGGCTTTGTGAAACTGAAGAGAGATCAGGATGAGTGAAAAACTCTTCAATACTATCTTTTCAGACCACATTGTCAGAATTATTTTCAAGGAGATCAGCATGGAATAGGAAACTACTCGCTGTAAACATTATCTGATTTTCTACCATAGGCATCACTGGTAACTTGACTGAACTATTTGGAGTTAGTGTGTGTTCTAAAAAAAAAAAAAACCATACATTTCATTTGTCACCAGCTTCCTGAAAGTGTAAATTCTTGTCAATAGCAGAGCTTATCCTCAAGATACTCAGCAAGCAAAGTGAAGAGTTGGGTACAGGATGTGGAGCTCTGGCTTTTTAGGCCTACATGCAATAGAGCAAAAACCAATGCTCCTCAGATGTCAGCTCTTTGTTCACTCAACAAGTATGTGTTGATCACCTGCTATGCACCAGGCAGTGAGGCAGGTACTGGGGATATAGTGGTGTATAAAAGAGACATGTCCCTGCCATCATGAGGTTTACAATCTAGTGTAGAAGTCAGACAAGAAGCCATCAACCAAAGGAATACATCATTTAACATGATGAACCACGAGAGGAGGTGGAATTCTACTAAAGAAGGGTTTTTCAGGGATGGCCTGTCTGAGGATCTAACATTTAAGCTAAGATCTAAAGGATTGAATAGTCCTAAAAGAGGTCACAACAAAAGTGAAGGCTACACTGAGAAAGAGCGTGGCATGTTTGAAGACCTAACATAAAGCCAGTGTGAGTGAAGCAGCGAGGAAAAGGAGATGATAAGGCCAGGGAAGGGCACCATGATAAAGAGTCCCGATTTCATTCTGAAAGTGACAGGAAGCCACAGAAAGGCTTTGTGTTCCTCTGCTTGGGCTTCCATAACAAAATGCCGTGGTCTGGGTGGCTTAAACAACAGATATTTATTTCTCCCAGTTCTGGAGGCTGAGAAATTTGGGATAAAGTTCCATCCCTTCAGTTCCAGGTGAGGGCCATCTTCCTGGCTTGTGAGAGGCATAGAAAGCGCCTTCTCACTGTGTGTTCATAGGGCTTTTCCTTGGTGCACATACATCAAGAGAGAGTACAAACTCTTCAGTATCTCTTCTTATAAGGACATTGATATTATCAGATAAGGCCCTACCCTTATAACTCTATTTAACCTTAACTATTTCCATATGGACCTTATCTCCAAATATGATCACATTTAGGCTTATGACTTCAACATATGAATTTGGGGGGAACACAAACATTCAGACCACAACAGGCTTACAGCAGGGAAATGGCATGGCCTGATCAACTGATTTCATTTTTTAAAGGCCACTTTAACTAATCTGTGGAGGATGACTAATAAGGAAAAAGAAAAGCAGCAGAGCAAACAGGAGTTCTGAACAGAGAGAACATGACAGACAAAGGTGGTAAAAGTATTGCATCAGAGAAAAATGTGGGAAAGAATTGAGTAACCAGGTATTTTTTTTAAAAGCTTGTTTAATATTTAAAGAAAGAGAATAAATAAGATTTGATTATTAAAAAGGAAAATTGAAGCAATGCCTCTTCTAAGTGACTTTTTTAAACAATATCTGTAAGCCACCCAAGAGGGACAACGTGTGTGGTTCCCTGTATGGCAATGCTACAGAATTGCTTTGATCATTAGCCTCCTTTCTTGTATTGTCATTGCAATTCATGATTATGGGGAAATCCAGGAAGGTTCCAAGCTTCAGTTAAGATAGGCCATGAAACATAAAAATACTTATCGGAATGTATGTTAGGTTCCTATTGCTGCATAACAAATTTCCACACAATTAACAGCTTAAAACAACACCTGTTTATTGCACCAGCATTTCTGTAGATCAGAAGTCCAGGCGTGGCTCAAGCTGGGTCCTTCACTCAGAGTCTCATAAGGCAGAAATCAAGGTGTCAGCTGGGCTGAGTTCCTTTCTGGAGCTAGGGGTTCTCAAACTCACGTGGTTGTTGGCAGAATTCAATTCCTTGTAGATGTATGACTCAGCCCCCTGTTCTTTTATTGACTTCCAGATGGGGTCCACTTTCATCTCCTAGAAGCCACCTGCAGCCCTCTTTTAAAGGCTCAGCCCATTAGGTCAGATCTACCCGATAATGGCCCTTTTGATTAACTCAGCTAATTAGGGACCTTGATTACATCTGCAAAGTTCTTTATGCCGTACAACAGGACAGTCATAAGAGTGATCTCTCATCGTGTCTGAGGTTCCAGTCACGCTCAACAGGAGGGTGATAACAGGGGTTATCAGGGGATCTTTTTATTCTGGCTACCACAGAATATCATTGAATCCTTGAACCTTGTGTCAAGACTTCACATTATTACAATCTCTTGCTATGCAATGCTCCATAATACACCCCATAATTGCTGAAAATCATGAAGGTTGAACTTTTTGTAAAAAAAAAAAACAAAAAAAAACAAAAAAAAAAACCAGTCAACACATTGGCTGGAAAAATAAATCTGTTTCAAAATGTTCATGTTTTTAAAGGGTTAACTTCTCAGCTACACCTTCAGGGCTGTTTCAGACCATCTCAAAGTCTTCTATATCGCTTTTTGCAGAAGCTGTCTTTTGGAGTTCATCTTTTAAGTGGGGCTCTTTTCTAGAGACTTCAGCTAAGTTCTATTTTTCCTTCAGTAAGTCATGAGAAATCTATTCAGTAGAATCCAGTTCAACATCTGGCTCTTTGCTTCCTCCCAGTCTCTAGAAGAGCAGTTTTCAAAGTCTGGTTTTGGGCCATCCTGACACCCTGTCAGAAGGTCTTTGAGGTCCTCCTTTTTCAACTATTGGATACATAGCCATGTGCAGCTAGATTTCCTCCACAGACTTCAACCAAAGCAACATATCACAACAGATGGAATGCAGTGCCTGCAGTAAGCCAGACATGAAGGAGATGTGCAAAAATTTAAAACAATGCCACTCTTCTCATTCAATATTTTTGTTTTGAAAATGCCAAATAGAAACAACACCAGACTTAGATAAGGAGTAACTTTATTTGAAAAGACAATTGCAATAAAGAGAATGCTTTGACCTCAGGATGAGGAAGTGTCTTAAAATTAAGCAGAAAAAGGTTTTTCTTATATAGGGAAGGGTAAGCAGAGATGGCAGGGACTATATGGGTGAGGAGGACAAGCAGGTGGGTGAACAGGGGGCAAAATCAGGTACTTCAACAAGTAATGTTTCTCTTGTGGTTAGTCAGTTCTCAGAAGGAGCTGTTAAGGGAGGATGTTTCACAGCTTAGTGCTTTAGGCCTTGCTCGAACTTGGGAGCTAGCCAAAGTTTGGGAGCCCACTGGAAGGAGAGAAGCCTGATTAAAATTTGGTCAAGCAAAAGTTCCGTGGATAAGTAACAGACAATCGTGAGCACTTGGTCAAAAACTATAGTCATTTTTCGTGAAAATAATTATGTGTTTATAAGCAATGAGTCTGTTATTTTGTGGATTAGTAAATATTTTTAAATGTCTCAGGTTTAAATTTTATGCAGTAAATGTCAAGAGATACAACCCCCATAAACAAAAGCTCTTTGGAGGCCTCAATAATTTCTAAGAGTATGAAGGGATCCTGAAACCAAAATGTTCAAAAACCACCACTCTAGATTATTCTAGATAACCGTGCCCATTAATCCTAGAGCAATGACAGGACTTAGAGATTTTTTCATTCACTCCTTTCATATTGTGGATAAGTTGAAACTTAGGGTAGCCATGTGACTTGCCCAAGATCAGTGAGTGAAAAGCATCACTAAGTTTTAAATACTGATTTCCTCATTCCTAACCCTGTGTTTACCCTACTATTGCTATACAATTTCAGATATGTCTATTTCGTATCCAAACTTTGAGAACAAGTCTCTGTCTTATACTTCTTTCATATACTTCAGAGCTGCTGGCATATGTCTCAAATAATCAAATGATGGGTGCTCAAAATTCTCGTTGGATGAATGTATACAGGAATAAAGGAGAGAAGGAAAGACAAAAGAGAGAACAGGAAACATGGATGGATGGAAGGAAGGAAGGAAGGGAGGGAGGGAGGGAGGGAGGGAGGGAGGGAAGGAGGGGGAAGGAAAGTCTTTTATGAACCCATAGGCCTTGAAACCATTTCACTCTCTCAGCAACACCCACATACAATAATCTCTTAATTATTTCCAGGCTCCAGGGACACAAAAATCTGGTCTACAAGAAACTCTCAATATCTTCCTTAAAAGTCTACACTGAAGGCTTACATATCCAAAGAAAGGCTCATAGAAGCAGCATGGCTTGTACCATCCTCATGTGCACAGCCTCCCCGGAAACCACAGAAGGAACGTCACTGCTGCTTTGCTCTGTTCCACCTGTTCCCCACATACCTATGGCTTCACAGACTCCTGAAACCTATGGGGGTTCAACTGGACAAAGGGAAAAGGCAGACAGAGCAGTGTGTCAAGACAAACAAGAGGTCCAGTCATGGCGTGATGGAGCAGAGGTACCAGGAGGAGACAGGGTCAGAACAGATGGTAACTCCTACAACAGTCTGCTTTTAAAAAGCCAAAGAAACAAGAAAGGCTATTGATCTTTTAAGAAAAAGGAAACAAAAGCTAGGAAATAGTTGGGTAAAATCACTTCTTAACAAAGAAACACCAGAGCGCCTGGCTAGCTCAGTCAGTAGAGCATGAGATTCTCAACAAAGAGAAAGCATCCCTTCTTGTGTTAAGGCCATACTATTGCACAGGGTTTTATTCAAACTTTGCACAGGATTTTATTCAAACTTTTTTCTGCTGTCCCAGAAATATTATTCAGACCTCAACTCTAGAGATTAGAATGTAAAGGTGGGAGTCTGTGGGTGGAGTGATATTAGCTTGATTCCAATTGCTGACTTCATGACCACTGATGAGGGCTTCAGGGCAGGTCCATGATGTTCATTTGTTTTCCTTAGTCAAGTTAATGCCAGCTAACTTTGGCCAGAAATTAATTAATCCTGCTCAGGGTGCTAGGAAATTCTAGATGTAGCTTGTAGATTATCTCATTTCTCCACTGTCTTCAGTCAGTTCATACAGAATTTCAAAAACTATCTCAAATCCATATATTTGCTCTTCCTACACTGCTAGGGTTCAAACTGCCATTGTTGCTCGTCGTGTTGGTCAAGATCCAGTCAGGAAAATAAAATCCAAGCTCCGAGTAGAGGAAATTGAGAGATCTCATTACAAAGGTGTTGGGAGAGCTGCAAAGACAATCAGGGAATGAGGATGTGACCCAGAGATCAGTAGGGAGTCCCTGTCACCTCCAGGGTTGGGGGAATCTTGGAAGGAGATGGTATTGCTAAAGTTCAAGAACCGAGGAAGCCAGGTAGAAATAGAAACCATGTAGAAGACTGCCCTGCGGGATCTGGGGCCACAGACAATGGGACTATCCAGTGGGTCTATGTGGAAACAGCTGACACCAAAGAGGACCAGCATTGCTGGGGTTGCCCCAAGAAACAAGGAGGGACAATGGAAAATACCCTGGCTTCTCCCTTTTTCTAGTTCTCAAATCTCCCTCCACAGCCTCCTATCAGTACAACCCACACAAAAGCAGATTGGCTGAGGAGTTTGGGAAATATACTTTGTTTTGTATGAGAAGGGTGGAGAATGGATTTGAAAACAAGCAGGCAAGTGACCAGCACATTCACCAACCCCATGAAAGTTTCCTCCCAACTGGTCTCTTGGTTTTCATTCTTGCTGCCCTCCCATCTTTTCTCTAAGTTGAGATCTCTTTAAATGGATTCTCATCACTTCCCTTCTTCTACCCTTCAGAGGCTTTCTATCACTTTGAGGATAAAATCTAAACTCTCTACCACAGTCTACAAGCCCCTGTGTGGTCCTTCGTCTGCCCATCTTCCCAGCCTAATTTCAGTCACTCTTCCCCTCACTCACTGAGCAACAACCCCATGAGCTGTCTTCTACTCCCTCCAATGTGTCAAACTGCAGGCCCTTCACACCTGTCCTTCCATATGTCTGGAAAGATCTATTCCTCCTGCTTTGGCTAAATGCTACTTTGTCCTATGGCTTTCAGCTTACAAGTCATTTCTTGGGAGGGGCTTTCCCAGACCTTCCCCATTTCAGTTAGATGCAACTTTTGTGGTCTTAATCCCCATATGTTTCCTTCATGGCACTTAACAATATTGATAGGAATATATTTGCTTGTGTCTCTATTTTTTTTTTTAACATTGGCTTGCCACTTGTCTGGAACCTGAACAGTGGGGATCTCACCGAGTCTTGTCCCTGAGGTGGCTGCTGCATCTAGCTCCATGCCTGGCACAGATAGGTGCCCACTAAAGAATGGTAGAGGATAAACACAGAGGGACAGTATGATGAAAGCATGTTATTTAATTCATAAGCTTTTCCAAAGTCCATCTGGTCTCCGTTCTGCCCCTTCATTGAGAAACCCAGGAACTAACCATCTTTGAATAAAGTCTCCCCAATGGTAAATAGATTTGCAAAGCTGCTATTGCTAAATTGAGCTTCAAGGATACATTTTTTTGACTTCTGTGTTTGGAAGGACAAAAAGTTCATCATGTCCTTTAGAGAATAACTCTTGCTGAGAAGACAGGAGAATTCTGAAGCTGCCGGTTACCTTTGCGCAACAACATGTGAAAAAGCTTCCCCCTTTTTATTTCCAGTCAACACTGTAGCTTGTCCTTATTTTTTGTGTGTGACTATGATTTTGTTATGCTTTGTAATGTGCATTTAGTAACATAAGGATATCACAGTATGTTTATGTTACTCATAAAAGACCATACCATTCTTTCTGGATGTGAGCACATTTTTAAAAAAAAGAAAGAAAGAAAGAAAGAAACAAAACAAACAACAACAACAACAAAAATCTCTTTTAAGTAGGTTTTGTTTTTCAAACAGGAAAGCCTACTGGTTTAATACAAGTTAAGGACACGTCCAGGGTTGTAACCACGGCCCCTCCTTGTGGCAAAACACATGCAATGACTCCACATACCATCTCTATTATATCCGCTCTATCTAACCTTTATCAGCAAACCAACAGAGGAGCACCCTACCCAGGCAATCTTTGTCTGGAATTTCAGCCATGGCTTTGAGACATTTCTCATCGTTTCCTTACCACACTCCCCAAAGCATTTTCTTAGTGGGGCAGCCCTCAAGTCTTTAATTCCAGCTTGTTATTTCTCTTCTTACAGAGCTAAGCGTGTTATTAATAACAGCAACGAAAAAATTAAGTATGGTGTGCACACTAATCTAAAATTTTGAGCTGGCAATTAGTTGGAGTGAAATGCAATTAGATGTTTTCCTTCAAGTCCTAATTTACATGCTGGAAAACATGGGCAGCCTTTGCAAGTAATTGCAAAAATAAGCCCTGCTTTTTGTGTCTGTGTACAAATACGAAGCTCCCCAGCACACCTGCCTTTGCCTAAATAGAATAGAGTCCCAGGGGTCTCCTTGCTTTATGATCACTGAGATATACAGCAGAAAAGGAACTGATCAGCCTTTAGGTGAAAATGTGTTTTCTCTCCACTGCAGAAATTTAGTATTAATTGACATTGACATAACCCATGGAGAACTGGGGTGCATAAATAAGTCTGACAGTTTTTCCATGTAACCCCATGAGGTGAATTGAGGCTCTTCAGAGCTGCAGCACCCCTTTGTGTGCACTCAGAGTAATAGCTGATACAATTCAATCCGTTAAACACTTCATGAGCATCTACCCTATACAACACTACTAGGAGCCCTGGAGGAAACATATCAAATGAGATACTGTTGACATCTTCAAGAGGGTACAGTCTAGTAGACCAGACAAGACACACACACAAATATCACCAACGGATGGGCTCCATGGGTATAGAGAGGTTACACCCCTGGCAGCTGCACCTCAGTGTCTCCTGAGGAACAAGAAGTGGAGGTGTCTCAGCAAATATATCAGCACCCCAAGAAAAAATCTAGTTTCAGCTCAAAGCTCAATCAAGAAGTTATTCTTGTAATACAAGGATATGGAGGGGGAACTTCCTATCATTGCAGAAAAGCAAAGTACAGAAAGAGGAAAGTAGGGTGATTTTGCAGAACATAAAAGCAAAGGAAAAATCCAGGACTATGTGTTTTCTGCAGAAAGCATTAGGGCTCTGATAGAAGTAAGCAACATCTTAGTACAGATAAGTGTTCAAAACAAGGAGTTACACATAGAATCCAAGAGCCAGTAGAACTTGGATGATACAAAGAGGAAAAAATAAAGAAGCCAGCACAGAACAGAAACCTTTCTGCTGGCCACACCACTGAGCATTTTATTAATTCCTTAGTGAGGAGAAAATTAGCAAACATCAGAATCCTCCCCATATATAATGTATAAGTCCTTATTTATAAGTAATTTTGCCTTCTAACTCCACATGGTTCTCATTTCATAGCATGGGTTCAGTTATTATTTAATTATCCTTACCCCATATTGTTTCAAAAATAATTTAAAGCAACTAACATTTTTATTTTCTTCATAAAGTCCCAAGATAAAGAGCTCCTTTTAGATAGTGTCATATACACAAAATCTAAACTGAGGAACCCCATCTGATGGCAGTGATTATGACACCTTGTAAAATGACACAAGTGTCAGGACTTTGTTGTGCCTGAGTGCACCATAGATTACAAAAATGCAAAGTGCTGTAGTCAGGATACAAACAAAGAAAAGAAGTAATTGCAGCTGGAGAGACCAGGAAGAGCCTCATGTGGGAAGTACCGCTTGCAGGATGGATGGGAGTGTAGGAAGAGAGGCATTCCTGACATAGAGAATAGTGTGTGCAAAGACATGGAGGTAGGAAAGGACCTGACTGTGCACATTTTAGAAAAGAAGAAAACAGAGAAATGCTTTGTCATTTATGTTCTCAATTTTTTTAAAGTCCTTGCTCTTGTTCTATATCAGGAATACTCAGGAGATGAAAAATAGCACAGAACCTTTTTCCCTGTGACAGACGATGAGATGCTAATGGAGCCAGCCTCACACTAGGTGAAGGTCCATTGCATAGGGTTATGGGTTATGATGGGATTTCAGAGTGAATATTCTTCTTAAAAATATTCTTACATCCTTATATTTGGCTTACCTTGAATTTCTCTACAGGAGCAAAATGTTTCATTTTACAACTGGCAATAGTGTTTTAAAGGCAAATACTCTTAGAAAAGGCCACAGAGGCCGGGCGTGTGGTGGTTCATGCCTGTAATCCCAGCACTTTGGGAGGCCAAGGCAGGCAGATCACCTGAGGTCAGGAGTTCGAGACCAGCCTGGCCAACATGGTGAAACCCTGCCTCTACTAAAAATACAAAAATTAGCCAGGCATGGTGGTGGGCACCTGTAATCCCAGCTACTCGGGAGGCTGAGGCAGGAGAATGGCTTGAACCCAGGAGGCGGAGGTTGCAGTGAACTGAGATGGAGCCATTGCACTCCAGACTGGGCAGCAAGAGCAAAGCTTTGTCTCAAAAAAAAAAAAAAATAGAAAAGGCCACAGAATGACTGTTATTCCCATGACATAGCTATCTATCTGTCATGTCTGGCCAGTTTGGCTAAAGAAGGAAGTTTCAGACCTGAAACAGGGACCAGGTTAAGGTCCAGGTTTGAGTTAGGATGCAAGCAGGAAAAAAAGGTCCAGAAGAAGGTTGGTAGTCAGAATGACTACTGTGGTCAACTTCCTATGTATATGGGAATCAGTTCTTGGTGCAGAAATGTCCCCTAGATTACTGAGTCAGGCAAGGAAAATTCAGTCACTAAACATTGGTGTAGCTCTCTAATAATAGCAAGCCTTCCTATAAAACTCAGCACAAAGTTATCCAAAGACCTCAAAATGGCTTATCCATTATTTGCTGCCTCCAGGTTTTCATGAGATCTTTTTAGTCTTCAAGGAAGACCAAAGCTGTGGACTGCTGAACAATTATTTAAAGAAAAACTCATTTTAAAACATGGGCTTATTTTAATTTATTAAAATATGCAAGGTAATGCATGCTGGTTTGGAGGAGGGAGAGCTGCCATAGAAATGAAGAAATTGAAGGACCCCTGCTTAATGCCATCCCAGAAGGTGTTTCTAAACAAGAGTGGCATGACCAAGGAGGGGCTCACTTTTTGTGGGAAAGGAAATATAGGTTGGTAAAAATGAGAGCTGCTTTTATAAAGGGAGCATTACTAAATGGAAAGGGGAGTGTGAGAGCTGTCATCTACAGTCTCACACTCTGCAGGAGATGTGAAGAGGGATCACAGGTGATTAGAAATGTTTTGAGCTAGCTAACTCTCCCAGGTAAGGTTAAGCTCAGCAAGAAGACCCCTGCCAGACTATGGCTCCACCTTTGATCTACACTCAGTAAGCAGTTGGCCTTCTGACCTTTATCAAAAGCATGTTTGAGTGGATGAAAACATGAAGTGGAAGATGGTAGTTATGAAGTATCCAGGTATCCATGGTTAATTGCATTAACCCTCACTTGTCTATCTGGACATTGTGTGAGGGTCCTTTTGTTCTTTGCATATGGGTCCTATAGGCACAGAGCATAGCCCAGGGAGCTCCCCACTTTCTTCATCAGTGATCTGGAAATTTACTTATTTCCAGACACCAACTGTATTGTTACAGTGTTAACGTATTCTTTTATGTTCCCTGCTGGGAATGACTTTCAATAATGACCAACTATCCTAATAGGATGATTTCCTGGTTTAAGTTGACTCATGTCAATAGGCAGGTAAGAAATAGGATCCTTTATCAGGGTAATGGTTTTTTAAAAATACATAATCCTAGAAAAAAAATATGGATGTTAAAATCCACAGGGCTTGGTTATTCATCGGATTTGGTTGAAGACTAGGGGACTGTGAATTGCGGGACTGAACAGAGGACGGTGACACCAGTTGAAGTAGAAAATAGACTTACACGTAGAACTCAAGGTACCTGAGGGTCACTATATTGGTAAAGAAAGGTCAAGCTTTTCTGTGGCAACAAATCACCTCAAATCTCTGTGACTTAAACTTTTATTTCTTGCTCCTACTATAGCCCAGTGGAGTTTAGACAGCTCTCCTGGAAAGCTCTCCTTAAAGGAGTGGCTCAGGAATCCAGGATCCTCCCACATTATGAATCTGCTATCTTGCAGAGCACTGCTTCCAGTCATGAGGACAGGAGAGAGAGATGTGTAGAATTGGTGCATATTATTCCCACTCACATCAATACAAGAGCTAGTGTTCATTCATTTGGTCCCAAACTAAATGCAGGAGAGGCTAGAATTTACAGTCTTCCTGAGTGCCCAGGAAGAGGAGCAGGTTTAGATAAGCATCAGGCCTGTCTCTGCTACAGATACCCAAATGACAATAGCTAGCAGGTAGCCAAATAGACCCATCTAGGGTTCAGGGAGAGGAGGACATGAATCAGAGCAGGAGGCGTAAATGTAGACATGGTCAACCACTTAAACCTAGAAAAATACATGAGATCCAAGGAGAATATATATGGGAAGAAAAGGAGGGAAACCTAAGGAACACCAACTTTTAGAGTCAGAGACGGGACACTGTAAAAGATGGCCAATGTGGAAATTCACAGGGACAAGATGAGGAACATTGAAAGTACAACAAAGAAATTCTCTTCTAGGAATTGAGATAAATTTGGCATTCATTGAAGTGAAGCTAGTTAATAGTGAAGTGACCACATTTACAGACCCAGAAACGTTAGCTCATTCTGACAAGAAATTTTCATTCTTTCTGCATAATACAGGAGTTCTGGGATTTGTGGTTTGGATGCTGGGACAATAGCATTTCTAGGAATTTCTAATGGATTCATAGAAATTATATTAGGATAACAAGAAAACACCTCCAGAACAGTTGGTATCTCTAAAAGGGAAGGTGAACTGAGCTGGGAACCATAAGGAGTTCTAGCTCTGGTTCTATGTGGCCATGCTGAGGTCATTTCGTCTCTCTGGATGTCAATCTCTAAATCTCTGAATGTGGGGATGGCCCTTACAGTAACAGTAACAAGGGTGACATTCACTGAGTACTCATGGTGTGCCAGAGCTTGCTCTAAATTTTTTTCACAAATTATCTCATTTATTCAATTCTATTCATTTCAATCCTGTGAAGGAGATACTATAAGAATCTCCATTTTACAGATGTGGAAACTGAGGCTGACAGAAGTTAAGTAAGTTGCTCATGATCACATAGGAAATTCTGGCACGGGCAAATAGAAACCTAGGCTAATGGTGCTCTCAAACTTTCACTCATTCATTCAGTAAATATATAATGAGCACTTCACAGACATAGCCCCTGCTCTTAGGGAGCATTTTTCCAAGAAACAGAATGCTAAGCACAGAGGTCTTTGCCCTCCAACACCCAGGCTGGGGGGCTAATCAAGAGCCATGCTCCCCTAAGTACATGCCTCCTCATCTGGGTTCTAAATAGAAGAAATGTTAAGCCCAGAAACTGATGGGCCCTCAGTACCCATGAAAAGGCGCTTTTCCATTTTTGAGAAGATGATTCTCCCATCTTTGTTAGCTGGAGTAGTTTGGTAATTAGGTTCTTTATCACTTTGTCAAAATGGAGTAAGAAGAGCTAAACAAAGCTAGACTTCAATGACCTGTATTCCATCAATATGAAGAAAATGTATAAGGTGACCCAATTTCTAAGCCCTTTTGAAGGTAAAGAGTTTAATCTTCTCGCATACAAAGAAAAGGTGTTTTTCTTTTAAATCTATTTATCAATTTATGTAGTGTAATATTCTCACTATAATAAACCATAGAACTTAATGTATTCTACAAGATTATCAATATGATCACGTAATGCAAAGTACCAGAGAAAAACTACAATAACACAGTAAACTAAACTGGTTTATTATTTTACTTTTTAATTTCAATTTAGGTGCATTCGTTGTTCCCCTATAATTGTCATTAAAATTAAATTCTCTTTTCCAATCAAAATAAAATCAAAATGTTTAGCTGTTGAGCCTCTCTGAGCTCTCCATAAATCCCATTTAACAGGTAAAATAAAAGCCATGTCTGGCACCCTATCAGTCTCCAACAGTGTTATTTATTATATACACATCACACACAGCAAAAAGATGGTGACTTTTTTTAAATTTTGAAAGCCCAACTCCAAAAAAGATGCGTTGTTAATGGTGATGTTTTTCTATATTGTCGAGTCTTTTCACTACTATGTCACTAGGGCCTAGTCCAGTGCTGGGTCATGGTACATATTCGCTATTTAGTTGCTGAATGATTTGAAAAGATAAGGGTATATTATTTACTGAGTAAACAGCAGTAAACAAGGCATATAAGGTCCTTGAAATCAAGAAATTTACATTTGTATAGTGAGGGGCAGGAAATGTAAAAAAAATCAGATAACTTATTCTGGCAAGAGATCATAATTACTAGTATGCTCTTGCTTATTTAAAAAAAAATCTTATTTATACCATTGGAAGTGATCTTCTTTAACTGAATAAATAAAACTTCTGGAAGAATGAACATGGTATGATAGAAGTAGGCATCCCACCAGCCCATTCTGTCTACTCAAGTCTAGTAATCCACCTTGACCAGCCTTGCATTCTGTTCCTTTAATAAACATAAGTCCACATCACCCCAGCTCCAACAAAGCAACTACTAAAACAGCCTGAAATGTCCAGATGTTGCTAGTCTTTCACCCAAGAACAAAACAATTTAGTTATTCTGCAGGACAAGAACTAAAGATTAATGTTATCTAGGTCTATAGATATATAATTGCAATGGTACACATAAGCATGAGTTGTGTTAGCTGTATGCATACCCATCTTAAATGTTTTACTCACATAGTTTTAACTTGTCCCCATCTGGCTAAAAGTAAATACAGTAACTCCAGGCAAAATTAAACCCAAGAAAAGTCTGTCTTAGGTGCTCAGCCTTCTCTTTCTGTACCCTGCTATCTTATGCTCACGTAATCACTACATCAGTTAGGGTTTGTGAGGAAAATGGAAACCATTCTAAGTATTTCAAGTAGATTATAGTTTAATTCAAGGAATTAGGAACTTCCAAAATTGTTGGAAGGGCTTGAGAATAGCAAACAATGAACTCAACTACAACACCAAAGAAAACTATTTGAAGAGAAAAAAAAAAGTCTCAGATTTTGAAATTTAATTTTTAGATATAGCCTAAATAAAGTAGCCCCAACTTTCTCAAAGAACAAAAATTGCCCATCAAAAAATCTATTCACATGCTCTGTGCCTTTCTACGGAATTCTGGCTTCAAAAGCCGCTTTCTAAAATTTAAGCCTTTCTTGATAGTCATATCTTTACAATTCCATGGAAAATGGCTATTTACTCTAAAAATGTCATTTGTAATTTGAAAATAGAAAAAGAAAAGTTCATCCACTATTGAGAGAGCTGTTTTCAGCAAAAGAAACCATCCAAAGATCTAAGATAATACAATCATTAATTCCAAACGTTATTACCTTTTAGCATAGGTTAAGGTATTTTGAAAATGCCCCCCACCCTGCCCCATACCCGTTTTAAGCCCCAGGAATGTGTAGTTTGCTTAAGAATCACAGGTAGCAATATTACTCACTGTAATATGCTAGGTCTACAATTTACCTTCTCATATTCAACAATTTGACAAAATCATTCCATAAAGCAATTTATGCTATATCACACTATCACCTTAAAGGTAAAATTAAACTGTAAAGAGAAAAAAATTTTAACTAAAATAAAAATGCAGTTTACAGCCTACATTACTTCTAGCACCAAAGCGTGTTCTATTTCTCTATTTGTATTTGTAATAAGGACCTGTAGTTTCTAGTTCTCTTTGAAGCTCCGCTCATGCTGGCATTCCCTGCCATGACAAACACCTATGTCAGTCCTTTGCTTCCAGAGCTGCACAAATATCTGCTCTCTTTTCAGATGGTACTTGGCCCCAACTGGCTAAGACTGTGGCCATAATCACAGCTGGGAAGCAACACCTCTGTGGGGGATTTCATAATCTCCATGCCTTTTCCTAAGTCAGAATAAAGAAGATGACATCTGCGCAGCTCCTCTTCTTAGTGCCTTCACTACTCGTTATCCCCATAAGGATTGGTTACTCATTAAGCAGAAGATTGGCTTTACACCTGTCACTTGGCTTCTTCTGTTTTCCTTGCTTTGTATTTGGATACAAAAGGGCGCATTCCTTTGCTGCTTAAATATATTCAATGTTAATTTCCAAAGGACAGGAACATAGTAGACCATCCCTCCAGGGAGCTGGTACTCAGATATTTTGATCCAGGTTCTACTTTGGCAGAGAAAAAGACCCCATGACCTTCCTTATCTTTACCGTGTCCACAAAAGAACAATGAAAATTTAAAAATAGAGCAGAACCAAAAGCCATTAAAAATGATAACAGTACAGGAATTTTCCAAAATGACTAGTCAAAGTACAACCTAAAAAAGTCTACCTATTTATTCACTTATGTAACTGCAGCAACTGAATACCGTGACTCATCCAAGATCATACTGGAGAAGCACTGATAACAAAACATCTTGTCCCTAATTTCAAAAATTCCACCCAACTACTTGTAGACTAGAGTTTTGTAACAATAGTAAGCATCATGTAACTACCAGACAGCATTATTATTGTTATTATTTCAAGCAACAAAAACACATTCTGGACAACTTCAGTTAAAACTGTCCTGAGGGAGGGAAGAAATTGGTTGAAAGGGGAATGAAAGAGAAGCCAATGTGTTTTGGAAAGAACAGGAACCCAGCATCTATGGAGATAAGCAGCAGGAAGGCATAGACAGGCTGTTTAGTGAGCCACCATGCAGGGAATAAGATGAAGCCATTTCCATTTTGGCCCATTACACTGAAGAGTGGAATTTCAGGAAGACATCCTCTAACCAGCTCTGAACTGTTTTTACAACACCACTTCTGGCACCAAATGTGTGCGTTTTCCCTTACACCAACCAATTCTCCACTCTCCAGATACCCACTTGGTATTGTATAATTTGATTCCATTCTGACACTAACTACCCAGGGTTAGCATAGACCCCACAGATTAAAGGTGCAGTCCCACAAGTCTGGGCCACTTGAACTTCTGATCAACCACTCTAAAGCCAGAGGGGTCCCATAGACCCCTCCTTGGGTTTGATAATTTGTTAGAATGGCTCCCAGAACGCAAGAAAACACTTTACTTGCTATTACCAGCTTATTAGAAAGGATACAACCCAGGAACGATCAAATGGAAGAGATGCACAGGGCAAGGAGTGAGAAGGGTGGGTAGGGAAAGACACAGAGCCTCCATATCCTCTCCAGGCTCATCACCCACCCATCACTAAGATGTGCTTACCCACCTAGGAGCTTTCCAAACCCTGTCATTTAGGGTTTTTTGTTTTGTTTTGGTTTGGTTTTTTAGCAGAGGTTCCATTATATAGGCATGATTGACCCAATCATTGGCCATTGATGATTAAGTCCATCTCCAGTCCCCTCCCCCAGGTCAGTTCTACCTCTAATCACATGGTTGGTTCCTCTGGCAACCAGCCCCCATCCAAAAGCTATCTAGGGCCCCAAGAGTCAATCATTAGCATAAATTCAGGTATGGTTAAAAGGGGTTCACTATGAATAAAAAAAGATGTTCTTTTTACCCCATCACTCAGAGAATTTCAAGGGTTTTAGAAGCTCTTGTGCCAGGACCCAGGGATCAGCAAATACATATTTCTCATTGTATCACAATATCACATCAGCCTTGCTCAAGTCACATACTTATCCCTTGGCCAGTGGAGGACTGGGCACTGTGATTGACATTGTCACCAAGAACAAGGGGAACTGAGGCTGTGCTGGAGAAAACGCAGATGTCACAGGAGCACAGAAACACAGGCTTCCAGGCTTCATAATAGGGTGCAGATCAGACTCTGAGAAATCTCAAGTCACATGATAACTTTTAACAGCCCAATTCGTAGCTTAGATGTAAATAATTCTTAGCAACCCTCTGTTATGGACTGGACTGTATCCCTTAAAATTCATATGTTGAAGGCCTAACTTCCAGTGTGACTGTATACAGAGATAGGCCTTTATGGATGTAATTAAGGTTAAATGGGGTCAAAAAAGGTAGTGCCCTAACCTAGTAGGACTGGTGTCCTTATAAGAAGAGGAAGCAACATCAGGGGTGCACAGAGGAAAGCCCATGTGAGGACACAGTGGGAAGACAGCCATCTGCAAAACAAAAGAGAGGCCCCTGGAGAAACCAAATCTGCCAGCACCTGGATCTTGGACTTCCAGCTTCCAGAACTCTAAGAAAAATTAATTTGTGATGTTTAAGCCACCCAGTCTGTGATATCTTGCTATGACAGCTCTAGCAGACTAATATACCTTTGGGATTTTTTAAAACAAAGTCTAAAGAACTATGTGTCATTTTCTATAAAAATTGAAGAGAAGACAAGCCTCTTCTGATGCATCACGGACCCCACAGCCATCCAGGTGATCACATAACAAGCCTTGGAGAACTCCTCCAAGAGAACATGTTCAGTTAAGCAACTGTTCCAATCTTGCTTCCATTTAAACCTCAGCACATTTTATAGACTCAACAAGATGGGCTATTGAACAATTATCACCAAAGTCATTTTCCTCAAAGATGCTATCAGCCTGACTAAACCTTTCACAGTCCAAGTGTAAGATACACACTAATTTAATTCTGTTTAGCAAACAAGTACCAAATGCTACTGTTTGCTGAACACTAAACCAGCCTCTGATAATGCAGAGAAAAATCAGATTTACTCCCTGACCTCAAGGAATCAGAGAGTAATGGAGAAGACAATGTGAAAAACAAATCTTTAAAATTCACTGTTATAATATTTATGTAAGGTATAATGGCACCATGTTTTTCAAACTCAAGAGTTATTATTCTACGTGGGCACAAGAAATGATGACAGAGAATATCCAAATTCATAGGGTAAAAATGGTTCATTATCCTGCAACATCAATTGTATTAGAAAACAAGGGAACTAAAATTATGCTATTTAATTAGTAAAGAATAGTATTTCTATAATTTAGTCTACATGAAAAATTCAAGTTGGAATGGCAGACCTCAAGAATTACCATCATTCGCTCTGTCTTGTACTGGGGCTATTTAGACAGAAATTTTTGAAAATCACTAAAAGGGATCCAAAGCCATCATTCACTTCTCCCCTTGATTCTCTCTCCTTACTGATAATATAAAGTGGGTGATTTATTCTTGTAATTATTAGTAGTTTGTGCTTTTTAATCTTTGTGGAATTCATGTGTATAATACTCAGTTGTTTTCCTCAGTCAACTTTTTTTACTGTGATTCAATGTCCCTTGAAATTAAAAAAAAATCCACTTGCCCTACTACAATGTCTCCAAAAGAATATTAAAAATACATATGCAAATGAATATTCAAATCCCATTAAAAATATGCAGAAGCTCCTTTGCAGAGTTTAGTTGTTAATAGAGAAAAATCCTCTCAATATAAGAGATGTCTGTTTTATTTATAAAAATATATATCTAGGAAGAATCTCACCCACCAAGATAAAATGAATTTGGATAGCATCTAAATACATCCAGATATCTTCATAGGCCAAAGACAAGTAGAAAATTATTTAAAAGGAAATGACTAACAGAATTTACTGTCTGAAGTCCATACTTTTATCACGCTTATAAAACATTTTTTCAAGATATATATTAAACTAGATCAAAATTTGAGTAGTTTCTTCTGGAACAAAGCACTTACCAAAAATAAGACACCAAGCTGAACAAGGAAAAACTCTTTTTTGAGCTGTTTCTCCCATTGTGCATAATCCCTTGTTGATCTCATGATATTCTACATTTCTAAGTCTGAAAGTCAGTCAATAGACAGGTATTTATTAAGTACCAGTTGGGTACAGCAGCTGGTGCTGAGAATTGTGGGGAAATAAGAAAAGCAAAAGAAAACATGGTTCCCCCTGATATGAGGTTTCTTTGCAGGGATAAAACCTACCCTCTGCTGCCTAGTGTCTCTAGAGGCAAAAGTCTTTTAAAACTGCTTCAGCATCCAATCATATCTTTGACTCTCAACAGAAAGTCAGTTAATGGAGTTTCTGAGAGCCAATCAAGTAACTTAGATAAGTTTACTTAGGTTTACCTAAGTAAACCAACAGGGCTACAGGTGACATAATCTCAACCTCCAACTTCCTTCCAAAGATAGTTTTATTAACTAACTTAAGGAAAAAGGTATATCATACCGTTTATATTTTTATAAACTGCACATTATTTATTAAATTAACCAGAAAATTGTTCCAAGTACTTTCCATTGTTCATGGATATAAAACAGCAATGAGAGTAACTTCTATCTTTATATTATTTTTATTTGTGATAATTGTTTTCATTTTCATTTGTTATTTCCTCGTCTTAATTTTCTGGCATTATTAACATTGTTTTATTTTCTACTTTTGAGATTTAGAAATACCAAAGGACATAAACACAAAAGAAAAACAGAAGTTGAAAGTCTGAGACACTCCTTAAAAATGAACACAAAACACTTGGGTACGTTTGAGCCATATGACATGGGCAATGGAAAACGTTTGCTATGATATGCACCAGTGACCATGAATTGGTTCTTTTTTCAGAAAAAAAATACTGGTACAAACCTCCCTTAATAAATTAATATTCCAATCTTTATTGACTCATTTGATGGGAAAAATAAGTTACTGTACAAGGGTTTCTTGGTATTTGTGTGTTGTGTTGCTTATTTGTTTTGCATAAAAGTGAGATTATAAAGTTGAACCAAGATTTATGACAGTGGCACTAGGGAAGATGAGGAGACTAAGAGAAGAGAAATAAAAAAAGAGTCATGAATTAAGAAAAGATGTTTATATTTGAGCTAGTGCATTCTTATGACATATGACTTCGTGAAAGATTCTCCTAGGAGGCAAGACATATGAGAAGAAGGGATATTATAACCTCAAGCTAACAATAAACTGTAATATGGCAACATTCTCTCCTTGAACAACATGGTTCTTCTCACCTATACATAATTTTAAGTCATTTTTGCACAATATGAGAAAAAATGCAGTGAATTCCTTTGAAGGTGCCCCTACTAACAGACCCACAAATCACAATGGGTCACAGGAGTAGAAGGAACATCAAGAATCTCGTTGGGCAAAACTGTGTTTTTTGGCTTTTTTTTTTGAGAATCCACTCTTTCTCTATAAACATCTACCTCCTCCCTGTTACTTGGATCACTTGTAGAAATAAGTATCATGGAGCCTGACTTTCTGGATTGAATTCTTGGTTTAGCCAAGATTGCTGCTGAAGATTATTTTGTGAAGACTGAATATGATATGATATGCAAAGTATTTAACATATAGTGATGGCTCAATAAATATCAGGGAGAGACAAGAACAGGTAAGTGGTGGGTAGATAGGGAAGAGAGAGGGAGAGAGAAAGTTTTCTCTTCTTTCATTATTTAACTTTCACTTTTGAAATAAAAGTTTATATTACACGGAATCCCAAAGGTCTTACCACATGTGTGAAGTCGTAGTTTAAATTTAGGGAGTTTAATTTAAAAACGCAGAGGTGTTGGGTAATTTACTGATTATAATTGAAAATTCTGTTGAGTAGTAATGCTGTCTGGCAGTCTTTTTGTTCTTAGATCAAGGCAACCTCATTCTATAGCAGTCAAACATTACAATTTGAAATCAGCATCTTTCATTGTTCTGAGCCATTTATTCTTCAAATCAAATTCACTTTTTGGTTAGATAGGATCCTAGTAATAATATTAGGCAAAGTCTCAGTATATGAAAACTGTTAGGAATAAATAATTTGTGTACAATTTAAAGCAAAAGTATGTAGATAGACTGCTTCCAGCCATTACAGAATGCTACCAGCTACTACCAAATTTGCCTCCTGCTAAAGATAACTCTAAAACTAGACAAAGTGCATATATCAACTGTTTAAGACATTGAACAGCAGACAGTGCAGGGCTATTTTCTTTATGAGTAGGAATCTCATTAAGTGGAGACTGGTGGACTCAGTGAGCTGAGGAAACAATGATTGGAGTTCTAGGTGATCAAAGTGATTGGAGCAGGGTACTGGAAAGAGAAAGCTGTACAGATAAGTCAGGCTCAGAAGGAAGGTGGGGGATTCAGAGTGGGTTCTTGGCCAAGGTCTAGATTGTGTAAGGTAAAATGGAAGAGATTGTCTGCGTGGGGCCAAGCCATGATTTTTAAGAAGGTTTTTAAGGAGACTTCTAGAAGGAGATAACAGAGGTCATGCAAGGCTGGCCCAGCCAGAATAGAATACTTTGCTGAGTTCCTTGTGCAATTCATTCAAACTCTAGAAAGATCATGCATTAGGAGTAAGCATCAGACCACAGAATAAGGCCCGCACCCTAGGACTAAGTGTAAAACTAAAATAGACTCAACGTAACAAAAAATAAAACCAAGCCTAGTTGGACTAAAAGAACCAGCCAGTAATTTAACTGCTTTCCAAACAAAACTCAACACTTTCTAAAGGAAGACATTATAATCCAGACTCCCTAAATATATCAACTTTAATGCCTAGAATAAAATCAAAACTTACTAAATATGTGATTAAGCAGGAAAACATGACTCATAATCAAGAAAAAAATATGCAGTCAATGGGAACAGACCCCAAGATGACCCAGATGTTGGAATTAGCAGATTAGAACTTTAAAGCAGCTACAGAAATAAATTCAAAGACTTTTTTTTAAAGATGTAAGGAGTAAGAATATGAAGAATCTTGACAGAAAAATGTAAACTATTTTTTAAACCCAGACAATAATTATAAAAGTAAAAAGTAAAATATCTACAATGAAAATTTTACTAGATGCTCCCAAAAGGAAATTGGAGCTTGAAGAAGACAGGGTTAATGAACTTAAAGGCAAATCAATAGAATTTATCTAATCTGAAGGACAGAGATGGGGGTAGGGGAATTAAAGAGACCCAGTTTTCTGTTAAGCATCATCAGTCAGGTCAGCATACATGTAATTTGAGTCCCAGAAGGAAAAGAGAGAGCAAATGCGTTAGACAACAAAACATTTTTGAAGAAATCATAGTCTATAATTTCCCAAATGGGTTAAAAAAAAATCTATTTACAAATATAAATAGCTCAAGTTTTATACTTGAATATATTTTGGACCTCTTTCTATTTCTGTTCCCACTAAGATTCAATTATTTTTATTTAAATTTTTATTTTTATCTTAGTGTCTAATGCCTTTTTTACACTATGGGTGGTTATAATAGAATAACTTCAGGTTGTTTTAAAACTTTTCTTTGCTGTTATTTCTCAGTAAAGATCTAGAACAAAGCTTTTTTTGTAAAATATAAATTACTATGCAAATACAAAAGATTAGAGTCTCTATGGCATCTATCCCATTTTCCAAATGCAGATACCACCCTACTGTCACTGTGAAACGCAAAGTTATTTGAAAGGTTGAGTGTTACCTTCTTCAAGGTATTGCAGTGAGAAATACAACTTTTTTTGTGCCACACATTTTCAGCAAGATGGGGAGGAACAAACTCCCTCTAGTCTTCTACCATTAATTCATTTCAAGAGATCTCTCTCCCCACCTAAACATAAAATGAGTCGGCAAAATTCTTCTTGTTTTCTCTGCCCCCACCAAAATAAAACTTACCCATAAGTGTCTTTAAATTTCATGTATAGCTGAAGGCATGCAGAATCTAGTGAATCTTAGAATTGTGAAAACTCTACTTCAATCTTGCAAAAGCCCTGAAGCAAAAATTTAATTCATTATTATTCAATGGCAAAGCAGACCCCATCTGACCTGAAAACCTGGCTCTGACCGCTATAGACACTGCCTGCCTCTATAAAAACACTAACATGCATCTTCACTCTAATTATAAAATTTACTTTATTATCAAATTGTTATATATTAAGCTAAGTTCTGATGACTTCTTAAAAACCTATCCCACTCAAATATTATTGTGCCATCAAACTTAAAAGAATCCTCTGAAGATATTTAGGCAAAATGAAAGTTCACAAAGCTAGTGAGATCTGAAACTATTATTCTGGGCAGAATATATAAACATTCAGATTTATATTATCACCCTCTCAAATTAAAAGACAGGAAAAGGCCTGATGCGTCTGCAGTAGCTTGAGTTCCTCCATAACAAAGCACATGGGAGGGCGGGAGTACGCTCCAGTGATACAGCATCTCTTAAACTCGCCATTGTATGTCTTCATAGCACCATGTTCCTCTCCTCTATTGCATTTACCACAGTTTCCATTTTACCTTTATTTCTGGTAATATGATGAAGTCTTTCTCAGTTACTAAACTATAAGCTCTGTGCTTGATTTTTCTCACCATTGTACCTCCAACATTGAAGCATGGTGCCTGGTACCTGGTAAGCACTCAAGAAATATTTGCAGAATAAATGAATGCAGCCCACCCAGCATGTTCTCCAGAGCTCTTCCTTCATGGAACCCCTCCATAAAGTTCTTGGGGACTCCTCTACTCAGAGATAAAGCTATTCCAGGCCAGTAAACTGTCCAGGGACTACAGAAGGTAAACAATTTAGAAAGCATTTTCACTGATGTTTTACCTTAAAATACTCAGCATCACTGTGACCCCCATACTATGGTTTGAATGACAGTGTTCCCTCCAAAAGTCATATTGAAACTTAATCCCCATCATAGTGGTATTAAGAGGTGAAGTCTTTTTGGAAATTGATTGAGAGGACTCTGTCCTCCCGAAATGATTAGTGCCTTATAAACGGGCTAGAAGGAACTAGCTTAGGCCCTTTTTGCCCTTCCTTCCCTTACACCATGTGAAGATACAGCATTCAAGGTGCCATCTTGGAAGCAGAGACCAGGGCCCTCAGCAGATACCAAACCTGCCTATGCCTTGATCTTGAATTTCCCAGCCTCCCAAACTGTAACAAGTAAATTTCTATGATTTATAAATTACCCAGTCTCTGGTACTTTGTAGCACAAACAGATTAAGACAACTCATTTTTAGGGATGAGGGTTGAGGCTGAGATTTTAAAGACTGTATCTTCTGATACAGTCACATCTAGAACTCCAGTCTCATATTCCAATTCTTGCGGTCCCAACTTATGGTCCTAATCATCTCTTCATGACACCACAGCCATGGGTCAAGGAAAAATGATGAGATTAGTGACCAGGGCTGATAGAAGGAGAAGGAATTTTTCTTGTGACAGATCACGAAAATGCAGCCATGAGTGATTGCTGGGTTTGCCCACACGGGTTGTGTTGGGGATGAGAACAACTTAGTATTTCAGATACATAAAAGGGTCTTGAACCTCAGACCAAAGTGTCCCTTTTCTGGCAAAATTTATTTAAACTTTTCTACTTACTAACAACTTAGCTTTCAAAGCAGTTACATATGTTCATTTCTTTTTTAACTTTCACAAATTAAAGGAAAACCTTACAATATTCTTCCTCTTGAGCTCCATCCAACACTATCCAAAACCAGGGCAAAGTACATGAAACTTCATCACGTCTGGCTGAATTTTAAAGATTTCAAAAGCATGTTCCCTGGGATTTGTTTGACTATGCACTACCATGCTTCCCTAATACGCTTGTGTAATTATTGTATGAATTATTGATTTTGAAAGATTCATATTCTCTGCAATTTCTCATTGATTAGTCCAGGGTTGATTTTATTGAAGGCTAAACAAGGACCTCCAGGAATTGAAGAAGAACAAAAATGAATGCAATTCTGAATTTCATTGTATCTACTGAACCTTGCATGATAACTTTGCAAGCATTCATGAGTGAAGCTTCCTAAGTATCAGCACAAAGCTGGGAAGCTTCTGGCAATTTTCAGAAAGATTTTTAAGTTCCATAATAAAAGTTTATTGAAAGCAGCTCTGATTTTCTTTTCCTGCCCTTTTTTTATGGGCTTGGTTGTTTTGCTAAATTAGGTTTGAGGTTTGCTCGCTTTGTCATAGCACCACATTAATGAGGCCAAAATGTCAGGCTCCATCTCTGTAGTGACAAACTGCGCCCTTAACCTCAGGGAGCTTCTCTGGTTGATGGAAGCAGAGAGGATATTCGAATTCACACAAATCCATCCCACAATACTGTATAAACAATTTTAGGGCCTGAGCAACTGAGATCAACATCACCTTCATTTATACAAAATAGCAAATTGTTCCCCTCTGTTATAAAGCAAAACCCCAGAGGAAATTATTAATGTCATAGAAGAAATGAGGTTGCAAAAAAAAAAAAAATTAGAAGGTCCAAAAATGATTAACAGAGAACCACATGATGGTTTAGAAAATGGAAATTTTTAGCAATTTGGATTGAGATGCCCCAGTGATTATTCACATAGATGTGCTAAACAGTCCAGGTTGCACAATGAGTAATTAAAATCTGATTAATTCTTATCAGGTTAGCAAAGGGTGCTGCTTTTTAGCCCCCAAACAAATTGGCAATGCACCTGAACATTAAATTTAATTTGTCATTTTGCACATTTCACTGGTTCTATTGTAATATACTTAGAAGCACATTTGCCACTCTGTTCTCTTCTGACATCGACCCTCCCTATACCATGTACATTAGGTAAATACTAAAATGCAGACAGGACAAAGTACTTTTAAAATTCTTTCATTTAAAAACATCACAATCAAATAATTATGATTCAAGATATCAACATTGATTCTTGGCAGTTGCTACCAGTAGAAAATAATAAAATGCGGATATACAAATCACTATTTAAACAGCAATAATTTTGATAATTAGCAAATATATTGAGGGAAAAATATGGGGAAAAATCTGAAAGGGGAAAAGGGATTTAAATTTAAATAGGATTTCTTTTAATGTTTCCCCCATTATGTAAAAGTCCATCTTTAATTCATATTATAGTAATTTGTGATGCTGTGTCAAAATAGATATGCAAAAAGGAGATGCATTTGAATTGTAAATATGATCCCTAAGTTTGAATTTACTATAGTGCCCTAACTGAGTCCTGTATGTGGAATAGGAATTTTGAATCTGTTTTGAATGTCACAGGATTAGCAATCATGCATAGTGTTATCATTGTTCATTATCCACCATAACTTTTGAAAAAAACATGAAATGGCATTAATCATTATTTTCTACTACTAATAATATACTTTCAATGCAAATTTCACCATTTTCCAAATATCTAGAAGGAAATTATTCTCCTTCACCACCCTGGCAAATCACCGCCTCTCCTTTATTCTTGGTTTGCATCTGGGAGCCTTGGTGACTGATGTTCATTATAACATGCATTGCCCCAAAGGGAAGATTTAGACTTTTAAAGAAAAATTGAACTCTTGACCCTACATTCAAATACCTAGAATCATAAAAACATTGGGCCCCAAGAGAGCTTAGAATCATTTAATCCAGTCCCTCATTTGTCAGATAGGGAAATAAAAGTTCATTTGGTAAATTGACTTGCCCAAGGTCACCCAGCCCGTTAAGGGCATATGGGGAAATGGAAACCAGAGCTCCTGACTTCAGGTCGAATATTCACTCCCATGCATAGAATGAGCAGCACAACATTACCCTTAGAAATGAGGGCTTTGGGCCAGGCACCATGGTTCACTCTATAATCCCAGCACTTTGGGAGGCCAAGGTGGCCAGGTGTGGTGGTACACACCTGTAGTCCAGCTACTTGGGAGGCTGCGATGAGAGGATTACCTTTGCCTGGGAAGGTCGAGGCTATAGTGAGCTGTGATAGTGTTACTGCACTCCAGCCTGGGAAACACAGTGAGATCCCGTCTCAAAAAAAAAAAAAAAAGAAAGAAAGAAAGAAAACAAAAGAAAGAAAGAAACAAGGGATTTGGGCTTTGGGATCAAGAAGACCTGGGTTTGGCTCTTGTTTCTGTCAATTATTTCCTTTAATTTTTTAAATGTGTAAACTAATGGTGCATATTTCATAGTATAATTTTGAGGAATATTTGATACGATGCACATAAAGCACTTGGCCCTAAGCCTCACATAATTAAATATTAAATAGATATTAACTATATTATTATTAACCCATGTTACCTAAATATGCATTTTTTCTATGTGATCAGCTTATATCTCCTACTTCTCCCTCCAAAAAAAGAAAATATACATACACACACATAGATACACACACACTCACTTACAAAGGCAGGGACCCAGAGTGGAATACTTGCTACTTACATGTGTGAGTAGTCAGGGGATCAGAGTGTGTGTGTGTGTCTATGTGTGAAGCAGACAGAGGAAGCTAATTGCTTAACTAGAAAAGTTAAGCTTAACTTAGGACATACCAGGATAGGAAAGGGTCCTAAGTACTGTTAAGGTCTGGTCAGAGCTAAAATGAGAGAATCACTGCAGCAGCTGCCAATCTAAAGGGTCCCTAAACCATCACTAGATATGAAAAGAAGTGGAGACAAGTGTATTTACTAGAACTCTCATCAGTGAGAACATAGCATGTGCTGAATGATTTGTGAGGCTGTTGGGAAATGCCTCTCCACAAGGTCTTGCTCTAGTATTGCTCTATTAGTCTGGACTTTTTGGTTTTAAATAAGATGGTCATACAATTTATCCTCTCAATCAGACATTTCTGAGTGTGAAATAGGACTTTATTAATAATTATGCTAGGACAATAGGTGTAAACTAGAACAGTCCCAAACAAATGAGGACATATACTCACCTCACAAGCTTTAAGTGCTGGAAATCAAATTAAATTGGATCAAACAAAAGGCACCATCCATTGGTGCCAATGTTTGAAAAGTCTAGAGGTGTGTCTGGCTTCAAGGATGCTGGGAACCAGTGATATCTCCAAGATTCATCTCTCTCACTCCATCTCCCTGCTCTGCTTTCCCCTATACTGGCTTCTTTTTCAGGCAGGCTCAGCCCACATGGTGGTCCCTATCCCCTCCAGGCTTACATCTTGCATCCTAGCCACGTCATTTCTTCCCAACACTCTACCAAAGTGTCAGGACAGTTATTTCACTGATCCAACCTGGCCAAAGCTCCTCCTTGACCCGGTCACTGTAGTCAAGAGGGACTGGAATAGGCTGATTGGTCAAACCTGGATCACAAGGCCACTTCTGGATTTTGGGGAAGGGGAGCCCAGAAAAGCCATCCACCCAAATGACATGGACAAAGCGTGGGCAAAGGATGCTTCCCCAAAGGAAAGGAAAGGCATACATTTGTAAGAAGGGGAATTATGCTGGGCAGGTGAGACCAATAAATATTCACTAATGCCAGGACTTTTGTTTGTTGCATAACAGACAACATCTTTTGTATGGTAGCTATATGCCAGAAACCATCTTAATGGCTCTATATGGATTATCCCACTTAAACATCAAAACAACCCTATAAGTTAGATACTATTATTACATGCATATGGATGAGGTATCTGAGATATACAGTGAAGGGTGGTAGAATATGCCAGCCCAAAAATATGCCACTGTGGCATAAGGATTATTTTAAGCTAGAGGCACTTGGAAGACAGTAGATACAAAAGTAACACTCTGCCCTGCATGTATCAGGAGAAAAGAAACACTCTTTTCACCAGATACGGGAAGTGGAGGCTGAGAGAAGTCTGTACAAACAGAAATTGTTAAAATAACTCTTATCTTCCTTTCACCTCCTTTACATTTCAGTCACTTCTCCACAATTGCCACTCTTAGTTCAACCTGCTACATAAGCAGCTAGGTTTTGCCACTTATTTGAGTCTTTCTTTTCTTACAAAGGCTCACAGGCACAACATAAAAATCTGTATGCTTTTCTCCTGTTGGTTTATTTTGTGTCAATTGAATTCTCAGACCCAGCCAGAGGCCCTAAGAGGGTGGAGGTAAAGTTGTTCCTCCCCTGCAACAGAAATTAAGGAACTTGTCCAAGGTCACAAGCCAGTGTATGAAAGAACCAAGATCTGAAGCCAGGGAGCAAAATTCCTGGAGTCCCTGCTCTTAAATCTAACCAATGATGCCATCCCATGCAGAGTGTGGCATCCAAGTTTGGGGTCAGAGTTCTGTCACTTAGAACAATACAGGTGAGGATCAGAGCTGCTGCCTGTGGTCTTGCATTTCCAAAGTTCCCATAGCTCTAAATAAATGTTGAACAAAAATTTTACTTCCAGTGGGAAGCTATGCCCCCAAATTTTCCTGCCCATTATTGCCGTGCCCAGGATACTAGCGTGTCTTGGTCCAACTCAGAGTGAGTGATACAGTTTGGATGTTTGTCCCCTCTAAATCTCATGCTGAAGTTTGATCCCCAGTGTTGGGGGTAAGGCCTGATGTTTGGGTCATAGGAACAGATAGCTCGTGAATGGCTTGCTGCCACATTGCCCATGTGTGGCAATGAGTGAGTTCTTGCTCTATTAGTTCCCTCGAGAATTGACTGTTAAAAAGAGCCTGGCCCCTCCCCACTCTCTCTCTCTCTTGCTTCCTTTCTTGCTATGTGACATGCTGGCTTCCTTTAGCCTTCCACCATGAGAGGAAGCAGCCTGAAGCCCTCACCAGAAGCAGATGTTGGCACCATGCTTCTTGTATAGTCTGTAGAACCGTGAGCCAAATAAATCTCTTTTCTTTATAAATTACCCAGCCTGCAGTATTCCCTTAGAGCAATTAAAACATGCAAAAACAGTGCATTAGAAGAACCTAGAGCTAGTAAAAAAAAAAAAAAAAAAAAAAACATTCTCTGTATTCATTACAGCCCCAAAGTCCTGATAGAAATTACCTGAGCACCTGACAGAGTCCATAGGCCGTGTAGTCAGCCAACTTCTTAGGATACTGGAAGCCAAAAGCAGCTTTACATGTCTGGTTTCATCTGTATCTCTAAAATCTCAGGAAGTCACTTAACACACTGGGAGGAAATACTCCAACAGTGGGACCCATGAATTCAAAAAGTCTTCTATTAACCAACAACAGCAAAAAAAATTAACCTAAGAGAATGGGGGGAAGAAAAGATGGGGGTATCCTTGTAGTCTATGTTTTTATAGCAAATAATTTCTCATTTCAGTTATGAAAAAGACACTTAAAAGATTCCAGAAATAATCTGGTTGTATTGATGCAGAGCACTACTTGGCAACGTTTAATGCCAGTGTATTTAAATATATTTAGCCATGTTTACTTGCACATTCCTAAATTAGGCCTGAATAACTGGCTGATAGATACATAGTACAAAACAGCTTGTTTGTAACAGGAAAATTGTTCAATCTATCTTCCTTTATAACTGAGCCTCAACAGCCTTGATTTATTGGTGTGGTTCAGGAAATTTGTCCCACATAGAGTTATAGGGAATCACTTTCATTTGTATGCTAACTGCTTTTGATTTTTTTTTTTTTTTAGCATCATCAGTGGCCTTGGTGATTGATTTTCAGTCTAGCTATAACCAGTTCCTGTTAAACATATTCCCCAGTAGGAAAGAGATTAGCTTTGCAGACAGTACATGTCATGGCACAAAGAACATTCTGGTCACTCCATTGGCATTTGAAAGTTTCCAAGGAATATATAACACAGCACAGCTTCTGGGCTTTGGAAGAAAATATTATAACAATGACAAAGAAAGGTGATAATTCTTTAATGAAGTTATATACATATTCACAATAAAGCATATACTAGCTAAACAATTAGTCAATAATTTAGATTCTGGGGTCAAGACTTAGGGTTCAAATCCTGATACCACCGCTTAGTTATGCGGCCCTAGGCAAGTTGCTTAGCCAGCCTAAATCTCCATTTCCTCACCCCAAAATCATAGCCACTAACAATATCAACAACAGCGAGTTGTTTGTGGATTAAATAAGGTGATTTATGCATAACACATTAGCACAGTTGTTTGTTCATAAGAAGCCCTCAATAAATATTAGTTGTTGTTGTTGTTACTGTTACTGTTGTTGCCATTAGATTTACAATGGAAATAAACGCACATATACCACTCTGGCCACCAAATACCTAAGAACTTAAGGGAGTTCACCCAAACAAGATCTACAATTTCCATTTACCCTGTTACAATTTCTCTACATGTGGGCTACTTCTTTTGGTGATGTGCAACCTACATTTCTCACAATGTCTCAGTCAGGTATGAGGTTGGACTCATGATTCCCAACTGCTTTTAATTAGTACAACAATTTACAATAGTAAGTTTTCATTCATTTCAGAGTCTTCCTTCCAGACCCATATGAACAAGGTCTTTGTCCTACACATTGTCTTCTGGTATCTTTTGCCAACCACTACACCACCAATTCTCCCCCAAAAGACTTGTAGCATTACTAGTTGTAACTTGGGAAAAATGAGGATGGGCTTCAAATCTCACCTGAGGGAGGGGCAAGACACAGCCCATGTCCTATCCTTGTCTCCCAGCATCCCAGAAAAATATATGAATGCAATGAAAGCTGTATGAGTCTCAATAGGTAGTGGGCATTCCTGTGGTTTCTGCCCACAGTCTTTGAAGACAACCACTGTATTTTCTTTTAACCCACTGCATTCTGTTACAGTGAAGCTGTCAGTTAAGGTACCCTGCCTCTCCTGAACCAAGAATGGACCTGACCTGTATTAGTTTCCTAGGGGCACTGAAACAAATCACCACAACCTTAGTGGCTTATGACAACAAAAATTTATCCTCTCACAGCTCAGATGGACATAAGCCCAAAATTAAACTTTTGGTAGTGTTGGTTCTTTCTAGAGGCTCTGAGGGAGAAACCATCCCATGCCTCTCTTCCAATTTATGGTGATTGCTGGCAATCCTTAGTGTTCCTTGTGATTTGTAGACAAATCACTCCAGTATCTGCTTCTATTCTACAACACCTTCTTTTCCGTGTCTCTGTGTCTTCTCTTTGTCACTTATAAGAACACTCTCATCAGATGTAGGGCCTCCCCTAATCCAATATGGTCTCATCACCACCTAATGACATCTACAAAGACCCTATTCCAAATAAGGTCACATTCTGAGGTTCCAGGTGGACATGAATTTTAGTGGGACACTTTTCAACCCATTTAATGACCCAAGACAGGCCAACTCAACTCTCTTTCTCCTGAAAACCAAAAGAACCGAAACTATTTGCAACACATTCATTCCACCAGCAAAACTTCTGGTCCCCCACATTGCATGGCTTAGCTAAGAATTTTCTTCAATTCTGTGTATTATCTGATGTCCTGCTAATAAATTTCCATGTAGCTTAACCAGCTAGAACCAGGTACCACTACTAGAAACTAAAGAAGTCTAAATCAGAGACTACAACATTTGAACTACCTAAGTCCTGAAATGTACAGGTAAGACCAACAGGATGTCAAGGTCTGTTTTTCCACTTTCCATTGACTACATATTCCTTTGGTCACAATACATCCACCCATCTAACTCAAAAGATTTTTACTTCTGGAAACTTCCCCTGCTCTGCATAGTAATTTTGCTAAAAGGGCTTAAAAGTTGATACAAGTATGTAGGTGATATAGTTCCTGGTATCTTTCCAAATCCTAAAAATGCTGACTGACTAAACTAAGAAGTTATCTTATAATCCTAGGACAGACTAATTAAATCCTACACATTGACATTTTTGGCTAAAATATGATAACTACACTAATTAGCCCGTTAGAAAATGTTCATATCTCATTGTGCCAAATGAGAAGGGATTCCTTATAATTGTTCCTATAGGATTGCAAGCGACTGCTGTGCGCATGATCTAATTGCCGGAAACGTCGCTCCCTCCCAAGTTCCATCACCTACTTCACGACCACAAAAGTCCCACCCGAACAGTGAGGAGTCATCGAAGCTGGATTGGCTTCCCAAAATCATGGCTCATTACCACTGCACTCTGAAACTTTTAGGAACATAATGAGTTTTTGAAAGTGAAATGAACCTGGCCTCTGACTTCCTACTGGATCCCACACTGTCTTGGGACACGAGGAAGCCAAAATGCCAACAAACTCGTACAAAGAACAAACAATTAAAACATTATGAACTTTTGAAGACACCGTGGAAGCTACACCATATGTTTATGAAGAACATTTGGAGCTTTCCGAAAAGTATTTATTTAGATAGAATCCCTACGGATTTGCTAAATGTCAGGCAGCAAAATTAAAATGTCAGCATATGGCAGAGAGGTCAAAATGGAATTAATAACATGGAGGCTTGTTACTCAATTCGATACAATTTAACAAATCTTTATGGACACCTACTGTGTGCCAGGCACTGTAGTAGCCCCTGCAAGGAATACAAAAATAAGCAAAAAGAGCCTCTGTGCCCCTAGAAGTTTATCGTTTGGAAAGAAGGGTAAGAGAATAATGTAAATTCCAGAAATACAAGAAAAAAACTCTAAGTGCTGTAAGAACACAACAAATAAAGCACCAGAGGGAAGATGATTACAACAGCTGCAGGGATCGGGGAGGCTCTCATAGAGTAAGTAAAGCAGGGATCGCCCTCGACTGACAGATGTAGAAAATATCAACCAGTCAGAGGGTCAACCCCAGCAAAAGCAGAGAGATAGAAAAACCCAAGGTGCATTCAGAGATGAGAGATTCGTTTAGTTTCTCTAAGGTACAGGGCTCAGTCAAGAGGGAGATGTGGCTGGAAAAGTAGGTTGGAGCAACCCCAAAGAGGACAAAGGGTAAAGTGCAAGGTCTTTTTTTAACTCCTGAAGTGCATAAGGAGTCATTGAAGGTTTTTGTAAGAAAGCAGTCCATACAGAACTCGCTTTAGAAAGATTAATCTTGAGGTGATTTGAATGATAAACAGGAGCCAGAGAGATCTATCAGTTGGGAGTCTAACTGAAATTTAGACAGAAGAGTTTGGAAAGAAAGCAGAAAGGAAGGTAGGAGGACATACGTGCAAGAGGTATGGGAATGTGCAAACCCAGAGTAGAAATTCTCAACCCTGGCTGCATGTTAGACTCCTGAGGATAGCTGCATTCAAATACTGAATCCCAGTGCCCACCCCAGACCAGTTAAATCAGAAGCTTTTGGAGGATGAGGAGAAGGCATCAGGATATTTGACAAACAAGTAAGGTCGGGCGCAGTGGCTCACGCCTGTAATGGCACTTTGGGAGGCTGAGGCAGGTGGATCACTTGAGGTCAGTGGTTCGAGACCAGTTTGGCCAACACGGCAAAACCCCATCTCTGCTAAAAAGACAAAAATTAGCCAGGCGTGGTGGTGCACACCTGTAGTCCCAGCTACTTGGGAGGCTGAGGCAGGAGAATTGCTTGAACCCAGGAGGTAGAAGTTGCAGTGAGCCAAGATCACACCACTGCACTCCAGCCTGGGGGATAGAGCAAGATTTCATCTCAAAAAAAAAAGAGAAGAAGAAGAAAAATGAAAAACAGGTGATTCCAATATGCAGAAAGCTTTGCAACTCACTCTTCCAACTGTGGATCCACAGACTGGCAGGTGTGGCATCACCTGGGAGCACATAAGAAATGTGGACTCTCAGACCAATCCACTCAGAATATGCATATTAACTAGATGCCTGGGTTACAGTCCCATGCACATTTAAGTTAGAGTGGCACAAGCAAGTGCTCCTGGGGCAGGCCCTGAGATGCTGCAGTTATAACCAGCACCCAGGTGAAGCCAAACGCAGGTCCACAGGCCACATATGAGAAAATATTAGAAGTTCAAATCTTGGGGTGCTACCCCAGACTTACCAAACTATCAGCTCCAGGGATGGGTTTCATCTGTGGTTCAACAAGCCTTCCAGATGATTCTGATATAAATTCAAGTTTGAGAACCACTGGTCTAAAGCAGTTCTCAGGTGACTGTGATAAAAGAACAGTATTTTAAAAAATAATGATCTGGAGGAATTGACTGGTAAAAGAACCACATTTTAAGAATTAACAATCTAGAGGAATTGACACTTGTGGGAATGTATGAGGAAAAGAAGAGAAAATGACCCTAGATGATCACAGTTACCCTCTTAAACTCTTTTACTGGGCAGTAAAGCTAAGCTCTGGTTTTCCCTTGCAAAACACCAGAAAGAATCCTTGTCATTTTGAGGCTGCTGCCCTAGGGCTGATCAACCTTTTTGTTCCCCAGTTTCCTTTTCACTGAGAAAGGACCCCAGCTGAGCATAATAGTAGCTTATCTTGTTTGGGCATGTGCCCAGAAGACAAGCACAGTATTCAATACTCTCCCACAAAAGTCCCTAATGTGGAAGGAAGAGAAAGGCAGTGAGAGCAGGTTATGCCACCCATGTGATATGTGGAGATGGGACAAAGGACCTCAGATACAGCAGACACAGACACGGCACATACAGGTTCTCATTCTTCACCTCCGACAATGCCCCGCAGAGGCTGATTCCAACATTGGTACATGTTTTGGCTGGCTACGGCCAATGGGAGCAAGAGAACTAAGTGCTTGGTCAACAATAGGCTCTCCATAAGCTTTAGCTCCCTCCTTCCCCATCTTTGGCTAACATCTGAAGATAATCCTAGAGAGGCAGCCATTAAAGGAGGATGGGTTTTGGAAGTAGACACACGTGGGTTCTAATCCTAACACTGCAACTCACTCACTAGTTGTGATGTTGGGCAAGCTGCTTATAACTTTTGTACACCTCAGTTTCCCCATCTGTAAACTAGAGTAGTATCTGCATCTGTAAATTAGGTAATATCTGCTAATATGAGAATTGCAGATTAGATAAGCAGTGTTTACGGAGTGTCTGGTAAGTCATACTTGTAGCTGATACATTGCTCCCTATATTTAAAAAAGCACTAATCTAAGCTCTTATAACTCATTTAGTCCACACAAATATTTTATGATGTGGACTGCTATTATTTAACTCACTTTACAGATGAGGAAATGAGGTATAAAGAGTCAAGGAACTTGCCCCAGGACACACAGAAAGTGGTGGAGCCAGAGTTTGAAATCAGGCAGTCAGGCTGCCTGTCTTTTTTTTACTGTCTTCACAAAATACAGCTATTTTTTTTCATGTTTTTAAAGAAATAGCATCTTGACTCCTTGTCTAACTGAACAGATGACTTCACTCTGGCGTTTACTTGGCTTTCCTAGTAAAGGTCCAACCCCTCTTCTCTTTCCCTAAGAAGGAAACTGCAAAGGCAGCTTCTCTGTGAGTCAGTGCAGGTTCTACAAACAGAGAAGTGAACGTCCCAGGGAAGGTGATAAAGAACAATCAGGTATACGAACCCCCATAACTTACATTAAATCGTCAAAAGAGGTGAACTCATAGAGACAGTGAGTGGATGAGAGATCATCAAGGGCTAATGGGAGAAGAGAATGAAGACTGATGTCTTAATGGTTACCAAGTTTCTGTTTGAGGTGATGAAAAAGTTTTACAAGTAGATAGTGATAGTGGTTGTGCAACATCGTGAATGCAATTAATGCCACTGACTTGTACACTTAAAAATTGTTAAAATGGCAAATTTTATGTTACGTGTACATTTCCCCAATTTAAAAAAATAAAAACCTTCATCTCTACCATTTAGCTGGGTGTCCCGAGACTCCTGCTCTGGTTCCTAGCTCTGCACCTTATTTTTGGACTCCTCTCATCACCTCAAATGGTGCTGCCTGAGCTCCAACCTAAACTCACACTGACACCGAGAAGATTGGGGTCTTTACTATACCTGGATACCTCAAATCTGAACACTTGGCCTTTGACCCCAGTCCTCAGAACATTCAGTTTGTCACAGTCCTTTGTACTTATTATGAAACCATTGGTCTATCTGTCAAGGGCAGGAGCCAAAAGTCTCTTTCAGACAGTGTTAGGACATTCTTAATGCCCAGAATCCATGAGACCTAAAATGACCGATATGAATGGAGTAAAAATATAAGTCCTCTCTTGTATTGTACGGACTCTCACCCTGAAACGAATAGGGTCCGGCTTGATGCTTGGTACAACAGAAAATTGTTCTGGGCAAATTTTCCAGAGTAGACCAAGATCCCTGCATCCCTCTACGTGAACTGTCTACTGTGATGATTTAATTTCATGTTCTTAGTTTTAAGGAGAAGGGATTTGGATAAATGTTCTCATGCAGTAATTAGCGGTTACATTAATAGCATTGATTTCCCATTATGCTGTCCCATTATTCTAATTATATTTCTCTTTAAACAATTTTCAAACTGAAATCTTCAACTCAGATGAGCCTAATACCCTGAATAACCTCCCCTCTCCACTGTGCACCCTAAATTGTTAATGAGTGCTATTTAACCTCACATCACACAATTGTAAGAACCACTCCCTAGGGCCCTGGGTAAATGTCCTCTCTGGGGCAATTACCACCAGGACCCAGAACCAACACTGAAGTAATCAAAACAAGTGGTCATTTGACAGGGCTCTCTGCACAAACAGCTCCTTGACATCCCATTAAGATGCTTGAAATCTCATCCCTGAAGAGCCCTTTGGGGAGATCTTTGGTGGGCAAGGGGGTGCTCAGTCTACAAGAGATACTGAAAAGAATAACGTCTTAAACCATACCAATCAACAACCCGGAGAAAATACCAGTTATCAAGAGCCTATAATATGTACCAGATACTCTGGGATTAGCACTGACACTTGTTTATCATTTATTCTATGTTTCTGGCACTATTCTAAGTGCCTTAGATATACCAACTTATTCAATTTCCCCGCAAAACCTCTCTGTTGTAGGTAATATTATGATGCCCATTTTACAGATAAGAAAACAGAAGCTCATTCAAGATCATTTAGCAAATAGGAGACACAACCTGTATTCAAACCCAAGCAGCCTGGCTGCAGGATCCATGCTCTTCACCTCTGCCTGATACATTTCTCTTTAAGTCATTTCATGAGGCAAGTATTTTATACCTGTTTTGACAGACAAAGCAGCTGATGGTCTGAGGGGTTACATAACTCACTCAAAGGCACGTGGAGGGCACATGCCGCAGTTATGATGTAAACCCAAGTGTGTCTTATTCCAAGAGATTCACCCCTTCCTTCTGCTGCCTACCCAAGAAGAATGTATCATAACCTCAAACTATGACGGCTATTTAGGAACAAGAGATAAGCAACTGGGAAATGAGAAATCATGTAACAGGACACATGGTCTAATAACTAAGGGAATTAATGGCAAATAGGTATTGCAGTGCCTACTAGCTGATCGACAAACTATTTTATTTCCTCCTCAGCATACAGACTGCATTTCCCAGCACCCTTCATAGTCAGGTGTGATCAAGTGACTGAGTTTTGGCCAGTGGAATGTAGGCAGACAAATCTTGCAGTACAATTCTCCCTCTTTCTTTCCTCTATTCCCTGGATGAATGGGGAGTCTCCAGAAATTTAGATGAGGGAGGAATCTCAATTTCCAGGAGTGAAGGAGCCCATAAAGCCAGATAGTATAAACATCACCTTTAATGCTTCTTGGAAACACATTTAATATTTCTCTATCCCACTCCTCAAGGAAGCCTGGGTTCCCGTTGACCACATGGAAGGCTATTCAACCACAAACAGGCTCAAAGGACCATGGCAATAAGAAGTAAACTTGTACTGTTTTAGGTCACAGAGATTTTATGTTTATCTTTTATAGCAACTACTACTACATTAACTAATATAGAAGTTGAACGCCATCGAATAAAAAACTTAAAATATGTTATTGATTTACTGTTGGGTTGTAGGTAGAAGAGAAATTAATAACTTGAGCTGGAAAGCTGGAGACATGGGATCCGTATCCACAACACTTTTGGTAAAAGTATCCCTGCAATAACAGCTCCCATGCCTACAGGCTTTTACTCCAAATAACATGGGCTGCCACTGGAGATTTTAAGAAGCAGAGTGACATGATTGGACCTTATTAGAAGGATCATTCTGGCTGCTGTGTTCTATCAAGAGCAGAAGCAGCACAACCATTGGTGAGGCTACCACCACTGACCACAAAGAGAAAATTCTTCGTTTGAAAATTCTCCTGTTATAGCCAAATGATGCTTGGTTCCCCTAAAGAATATGTCTGAGCCCCCAGGCCAGGCAAAGGCATTACCATCGGTTCTGAGAATATTATTCTTTCCAATCAGTGACTGATTCCAAAAACAAATTGAATATGGAGAAATGACCTGTATCATAATATTCAAATTTTTCTCTCTTTGTTAGAACTTTCTTGCATATGGTCTAAGCATTATGTTTACAACAAAAAGAAATTCCACAGATGTCCAATTTACGTAAAGGATTCTTAAATACCTAGTTTTATTGCCTACAGAGTTGTGACTTCTCTCAATTTTGGATGCATGAAAATATAAATGGTCCTTAGGAATCTGCCAACAGCAACAGGGGCTGAGTTATTTACACTTAGCCACCCTGAGATAGACATACACAGTTCACTTCTACCATTGAAACTCTCTGGCTTATCAGCATGGAGCCCATAAAGCCCGATAGTATAAACATCACCTTTAATGCTTCTTGGAAACACATTTAACACTTCTCTATCCCACTCCTCAAGGAAGCCCAGAAAAGATGTTCCTGTGTGGATACACTACACCTGTTTGTCAATTACAAATGGCTGGATCAAGTTTATTTTATCTCTGCCTATGATTATTATCACATACCAGTAAAATTCTAAGAGACTCACAGGGCCAACAATAGGATATCTGGAAGACTATGAACAAGTAAGAACTTGAGCAAACAGTGTTTCTCCTTCCCTCGTACCCAAATTCCGATTTAGTTAGCAGTTATGGAGAAACCATGAGACTTCGAGTACCTGCCTTATCCCAAAGGGTAGGCATGTTTGTCCATAATTTGTTCCAATCCATGTCATCACTGACATGTTCATTTTAGAAGCTCAAGCTTTTGTGGTAGGGATTGTTTTAAAAACTAGGTGGATGACCAGGGAGCCATGGATTTCCTCAGAGGGGAGAGAAAGGACTCTTATCCAAGTCAGTATTCAGATAACACACACTTGTCAAAGATGAAGTGATCCCTTGAAGGTGCTGAGAAGGAAAAGCTAAAATGGGACACCCACTGTTTTCCTGTTTGTTGGGCATCATTCAAAGGTAGAGTTAGCCATTATTGAAATAACTTACACTGTGGAGAAAATATCAAAATAAGCCTATTACACTAGGACCCAACCATTACAGCCAAGGAAATAATACAATAAATCCTTTGAAGTGAAGAAATATAGCAAGAGGCACTTGAAAACTGAGAGATGTTTTGTCACTAAATTGCAGCATTAATAGTGCTTTGATGCTCCTTGCTAAATTGTATATTTCTGACACTCAAAATGAATATTAAGAAAATCACACTTATTTTATAAAACTCATTAGTAGAAAGGAAGAAAATAAGATGATATTTTAAAACCATAAATCTCCTTTATAACTAACTGTGAATCTGATGCTATTGGGAGAGGGAAGCAAATTGAATGGGAAAGAATGATGCTAACCTGCGTTTATAATCTTGGGTGTAAATGAACTATTATCTCATCAGTAGAGGAGAAGGCCTATTTAGAAGACTAACTATGATGCTGAAGGCTGGCAACGTTTCTTCCCTGATAATGATAGGAAACTAGACGTCACTGAAGAAATTATATCTTTTTTCATTATCAGCAGGACCCTGGTGTCATTTTACATACCTGCGGTCTTTTTTTTTTAACCAATTTTTCTTCACTATAGATACACACATTTATCTCAACTAATGAAACACCACTTGAATTTACTCTATTTAATAATAACAATAAATTCAAATAATCCAAAGGAAACTGGATGTTCACAGGCTCTCAGCTTCATAGACGAGGCCTAGCTGATCACTTAGACCATTTTCAGGCTCTCCTTAATGTCTGCCTGGCATTCTAGATGTCTGTTTACCCAATCTCATTTTAATATGTCAAAGGAAGTGGAAGTCATGACTCAGCTCTAATGTGGCAGCATCTGAGTATTAAACAAAAATGCAAATCTAGCAGGACGTTCCGTAATGAGATGTAGCAAGCTTATTTTTCTTCATGTCATTACTAATTCAGTCTCGTTCATTTGGGGGAGCATTTGTGTGGCACACGGTCATGCTTAAACTTTATTTTATTACTGCTAAGCTACTCTGACATCATCAGTCAACGTGAAGGCCTGATTCTGAAATGTGTTGGCTTAGACATGTGTAAACACTTGGGAAGATATTTTTTCCCACACAGCCACTGTACTAAAAGGGGGCAAAGGTTTGTGCATAAAAGCAGCACATGAATTTCAGAGTTCCCAGAGTATTCAGGCATATGCAATGATGCTTTCTCATCTGTCTTAATTGTTCATTCTAAATTCCACATAATTCTGTCATCAGTTAACATAAGGAAGTTGTCCCAAAGGGTATGTGGTTCTCTTTGTTTGAGTTCTCCAGAGCCTAACACAAGCCTTGGGTGAAGGTAGTATTTGGGAGGTGATCTCAGAAACACCAAGAGCAATTGGGGAGAGCGAGAGGGAAGGAAGGAAGACCAGTACAGGGTGGATTAGTAAGGGGCTACACAGGGGGCAGCTGTGGCTCTGTCCCGCTGGGGGCCCCTCTGAGAGGCTGAGTAGACAACACCTCAGAATTGTTGAAGTATGAAGAAATGAGGTGTTAGTCTTTCCCCTTCCAACTTTAGTAGCAGTAAGTTACTCTTGGGGGCCTTAACTCGTCAGCACTCAGTAGCCAGAGAACACCTGAGGGCAGAGCAAGGCAAAAGCCATCAGTAAGTAAAGGAATTTCTATGCTGATGACATCCAAGAAGGCCAAAGGAATATGGCAGAGACGGTGAGCAAGTGCTATGGTGCTGGGATTTGGTAGGAGGATGCCAGATGTGGGTTTGAAATCTGGCTACCCCCTCACCCACTGCATGACTTACACAAGTTACCACAGCAGGTCGTGCAACAGAGAAACAATTCCATCGCTCTCTCTTTCTCTTTCTGTCTCCATCTTAACTCACCAGAATCCCTTGTTACATCCAAAACAAAAATGTCGTATGATGAAGTCTGTGGGCCGCGATGTTGACATTATCTAAGGGAGAAGCTGACTTTGATTTCTATTATCGTTAAAGGTAAAACTCTCTTCTCTACTCCTCCAGCAAAGCTGCAATCCTCTTAGGCCAATGGTAACAACAGCTCTAATTGCACCAGTCACTATTGTCCCAGCTTCCAGACCATTGTCTCTATAAGGTGAAAAAGAACAGTAGCTATCATCAGGTAGTCCTGTCTGTTAAATAAAAGGAACACTGCTTCTAAGTTCTAGTGAGTGTTTGCTGATTTTTTGATAATGCCTAGCTTTTCATATTTTGCTCTTACTTTGTTTCTTCTGTTTAAAAAAAAAAAAAAAGTCAACGGTCTATGTTCCCAAGGCTACTCTTTAGCCAAACGGTGTCTCCCTGTATACGGGTTCTGCTACCATTTGCAGAGTGTCAAGAAAGCCCTCATTTCCATAGGCCATCAGAAAATATGACCCTTACTTCTATTTGTATACATAGGTAAATATTTCTAAATTGTTCCTTCCAACTCTGTACTTGCAAATTAATATTTCAGAGAAGAATTATAAATGAAAGCAATGTGCTGTCTTCTTCCCTTGCATGAGCTGTACTCCTGACATTTCAGAGGAATGGTAGGATTGCAGGAAGAAGAGAAAATAGGGCAGACAATGGAAAATCATGTCATCCATGAATTTATCATTTCACACATTTGCATTGGTGACAGCCATCTTTCTATCACATTGGGTACCTGCCTAGTATACTTACTTATACTTATTACTTTATGTAGGAAGACCAAGGTGAAAGAATTGTTTGTATGGTCCTCAACTTTACAAAGAGAAATGAATGGTTAATGAGAATCTACCCACTTGGTGAATTTTCATATTCCATTCTGATGTGGCCGCATGTCTGAATGGCAGACTGAATTATAAATAGTTGATGCTCTGGTCTGATGCTGCAATATCTAATGAATTGTTGCCTCTATAAACTTTTTATGTGTTGCACTGCAGAAGTGAACCAATTAAAAAGTTTTGCCAATTTGGGCCCTCTGCATAAAGTATCTTCTGCAAGAAGATAAATGTCTTTGATGCCTTTAAATGTTTGGTGAGCTAAAACTTTATTCAAATTGGCTGTGTAATATCTTTAAATATACTTTCCTGTGATGTTTTGCTCTTGCATTTGTACTAAATGAATATTTGGACATCATTAAACAGGAACAACTTACTGAACTTTTTTGCCCCCCTTTTGTAAAATAAAATTCCAAGACAGACTTTTTAATTTGTTTTGAGTCCCCCTTTTATTAAATTTGTTTGTATCTCTAACTATTTCATTCTGACCTCCCTGGCATCATTGTGAAGAAACGCTTTCAGAAAAAGCTGATAGTTATGTTTCATGGAAGCCAAAGTTCTTCTTGCAAATTAAAATTACATTCCACTTTGCTGAACACTAAGAAAATCGGCTTTGGAAAATTACCTCGGCTCTAAAGATTGGACTGCCACTTACCAGTCAAACTCTGTTCCTCTAATGCACATCTATGAGCAAATATGCTTGGCTCTGACTCACACTGGACTAAACAAAATCTCATTAATAGACTTGGCCTAAAGAAGCACTTGAAAAGACAGCTAGTCATGTTCTACATGATGGAAAATGTCACACAAAATCAGAATGGAGGTGAATTTTTGGACAAGTATGTCTATCACAGGACTGTATCATCTTCCAAAAAAGAGGTTAAGATGTGTCAAAGCTGATCTTCCAAGTCTTCCCAGCACTTGACTCAGGTTGTTTTAACAAGGCTTTTTTTTTTTTTTTTTTTTTTTGAGACAGAGTCTCGCTCTGTTGCCCAGGCTGGAGTGCAGTGCCACGATCTCGGCTCACTGCAAGCTCTGCCTCCCGGGTTCACGCCATTCTCTTGCCTCAGCCTCCAGAGTAGCTGGGATTACAGGTGCCCGCCACCACGCCTGGCTAATATTTTGTATTTTTAGTAGACGGGGTTTCACCGTGTTAGCCAGGATGCTCTCGATCTCCTGACCTCATGATCCGCCCGCCTCGGCCTCCCAAAGTGCTGGGATTACAGGTGTAGCCACCGCGCCTGGCCTTAACAAGCCATTTTTAAGATGAGGACAAGTATTAAAAAGAAAGTGGGGAAGGTGGCACCATGCATGCAACAGAGAGAAAAGTACTGTAACAATGGCCCAGGCACTAGAGTGGACACTGAAGTTACAGATGTGAATGGGAAACTAACTCTGCCCTCCAGGGGGGCTTGCAGTTTAGAGGAGACAGATCAATAAACGACCCAAAACAAAAGAGCTACTATAAAACCATGGAAGCATTGTTTGCATTGGGACTTAAACAAATGAAGAATCTGTAAAGTCAGCTTAGGGGAGTCAAAATCTTACAGAAGAGTAAAGTTTGAGATGAAGCTTCAAGAATAAGTGATTCACGAAGACAAATGCAGGAAGGGCATGGTAGGCTTAGGGAGCAGCGTGTGTGTATATTTAGTGTTGCAAAAGCAGAGGTTTGGGAGGCTAAAGGGAAGACGTGAAGCTAGGCAGGTGACATGAGGCTGCCTCAAGAAGGACCTTGAATGCCTTGAAAAAAACTTGAATTTGGCTCTGCAGCTAATCTAAAGCCAGTTAAGATTGTTGTGTAGCGAAACAGCATAATTATACCTAGTTATTAGAAAAATCTCTCTGTTCACAGTGTGGAGCAAAGATGTGATAGTCGCAAAAATACAGTCAGGCAGACCCCTGGGAAGGACAGGGTCCCTACCACAAATATAACAGTCTGCTTCATGGGACCATGTCTGTTAGCATTCCCCAGTAGAGGGTGATGACAAGAAACAGCCTAGATAACTAAAAGCAAATGCTATGAGCAAGCCAATTGGTCTATATTCAGGCTTTCTAATGGTGCAGTTTAAATCACAGATGAAATTGTAGAACTGGAACTCTCAGTCAATTATCACAAACATTATTTCTTAAGTCAAGCTTTTGGTAAATTTTAGACAGCTGTGAGTCAAAGGTTCTAATCCCTGACACTTTCCTGGCACACATGGATTCCTTGTAGATGATTAAGAACATCCACGTGCTTTCACTTCCATGCCATGCTATCTCTGACAGATCTAACCTCCCCAGTCATGTTAGACTGTAACTCAGTAGTCCCCTCAACATGCTTCAGTTGTGAACTCTAGATTTCCTTCACTGTCAAATCCTGATCATCCAGGTGCTATCTTGCCTTTATCCAACAACGACTTCTCAATAACTGTATCAGTCCAATTTGCTTTCCTTGAGCACCTTTGGCAGGAAAAAGCAAGAAAAATATAAAGAGATAAAGCTTAAACTATACATGTCCCTATTTATCTGTGCTGAAAGCAGGTTAGGTAAGGGAAAGTTTAGAACTTCCATGAATGTCACCTTAACCAGGTCTTTATTACTCAGATTATATTGTTGGTCCGTCTAGTAATATCATACCTAGGATGGTGGGTGGTTTATGAGCAGGAGCTTCAAAGAAATAGAAGCTCAGAGAGGTTAATTAGCACCTTGTAGGCAGCAGAGTTGGAATTCTAGCCCAGGTCTTCTTGAAGCTAACGTCTGGGATGTTTCTCTAGGACATTCCACCACCTGGGAAGTAATGCTCCTTCCTAATTCTGTTTTGGCTTTCATTCAGGAATATAAATAGATTTCATAAAAAAGAGAATATGAGCAAAGAGTGGGTTCAAACTTCCCAGGTGTGTCCCTACGCCCAAGTTCCCAAAGTTTAAGAACGTACTAAGCACTGTGGTGTTCATATTTTTTCATTGTCTTTCCCCCAGTCTTTTTCTGTTTTTCTAGGTAACAAGTCAATTTCTATACCACTTTCTTATTTCAAGAGTTGGGCTTTGTGTGTGTTATGCCAGTTAAATATTCCATCTTCTTACAACTAGATATAAAAACCAATAAATGGAGGTATGAATTTCCACAATTTCACATAAGAATGCATCTGCCTTTGGTTCCATCAATTTATATGTGGTTATTTCTTATCATAAATAGGCTTTCAACTGTCAGGATGATCCTTTTCTCACACATTTCCCAGACAAAAATTGTGTGCAAAGCTATCTGTACCCCCAAGAAGCAAGAAAAATATAGGTTTCCTGACAAGGAAGAAAACATGATAATTGATGACTGAGATAGGCTGCCCTTCTCTAGAGGTTTTTAATTACCACCTTTCATTTACATAACACTTGAAGCTCCTCCAAGAGCTTTCAGGTACATTATCACACTTGTTCTTCAGCAAAACCCTGCAAGGAGAGAAAGCAAATATTACAATCATCACTTTCAAGAATAAGTCACTAAGATTGAGAGAGGTAAAGTGATCTGATGAAGTCACACAATTTGTTAGGGATGGAGCTAGGGCTAAGATTCCAGACACCTAACTTCTACCCCAATATTCTTTCTTCCACCCCTCCTTATAGAGCTAACTAGAAAGATCTGTGTATGGCTCCTCTTAGAGGTCTAAGGCTTATGAGTTGATGGCCAAATTGGTATGTTAATTTCTTTTATGAGCATTTCTCTTCTTTCCATAAGACACATCAGAAAACTATGGTTTTACTAGAAAGAGACATGGAGTGGGGTTGTGGGCCTCTATTCAAGAAAAGCCTATTGGCCTTGAAGTCAGATAGTCTTGGAGTTAACTCAATCACTTGCTAGCCATGAGACTTTGAGCCTCATTTTCATTAGCTATAAATATGATACTAGTACCTATCTCATGGAGTTATTGTGAGGACAAAACTGATGCATGTAGAGCACTTAGCACCATGCCTGGCACATACTAAGTGCACAATAAATGATTGCTGCTCTGCATAAGGTTGCTGTTGTCATCATCAGCATCGTTATTATTTTTATTATAGATCATGCTGAGTGTAATTCTGAACTCTGTGGGTAATAAGCTCCACACACTGCTAACGTGTCATTTGGGGGTCCTATTGGCCTGTACTTTCCTGGCCCTGACTCAAATAATGAGGTTTGCAATTTCATTGACTGGGTGTGCTAATTAGAAGCTTTTTAAAGATTTCTCTTGTCCATTGAGGCCACTAAATAATCTCCACATGGGTCAAGCTCTGTAATCACCCCCGTTGCCTCATTGATTGTATAAGTCAGCAGTTGGAGCCATGATGGAAGATCTATGGTGAACAGAACAAAAAGCATCCAAAGACCCAAAATTGAGCTTGTCTGTGGGCTGTTTCATTCTTTCATTATACCCGAAACTCAACTTTCATCTACATGATGATTAAATAATAGTATATTTTCTTAACCAGCATCCTGCCCATTTTTAAATACATCTTTTATTAGATGGTAGAGCTTATAAAATATTCATCAACACAAGCTACTGCAGTTTTTTTTTTCTGCTGACCTAAACTCAGAGCTGCTCAAGTGGAAATTAGATTTTTTTTTTCGTTAACTCGCTGAAACTGTCTGCATTTGCTAGATTTCCTAAGAAGCAGGAAAAAAGTAATTCCATAGGATTAATAAGGGCAACGTACATTCTTATTCCAAAAAGACATACAAAAAGGGGGCAGAAATGCTATTCAGTGAGGATAATTGATATTGTAGGATGACGTTCTGCCTAAGCTCATTGTGTTTTAAATGAGCGCACAGGTTTTTTGAATCCCTATGGAGAATACCTTCTGTGTCTCTCGCATCTTACCTTGAATTAAGGAAGACTTTTAGGGACCTTGTGAAATATAAGATGCTTGTGCTGTTGATCGGCAAAAACAGACATCTGATTGCACTTTCAAAAAGAACAAGAGAGATTTTGTGATTTTGTAGATTTTGCTCCTAAGGTAAAGGTAGGAAGACCTAATAACTGTTCTTTATCTGAACTCAACTTCTGCATATCGTCTGTATTCTTTCCATTCTCTCTTCTCCCCTCTGTACCTTTTTCTCCTTTATTTCTCCCTCCTAATTAAAATTGGATTGATGCTGAAAGTCTTGCTCTTGCTCATTCTTTTTTTTTTTTTTTTTTTTTTTTTGAGACGGAATCTTGCACTGTTGCCTGGGCTGGAGTACAGTGGCATAATCTTAGCTCACTGCAACCGCCGCCTCCTGGGTTCAAGCAATTCTCCTGCCTCAGCCTCCCAAGTAGCTGGGATTACAGGCACCTGCCACCACGCCCAGGTAATTTTTTGTATTTTTAGTAGAGACGGGGTTTCACTACATCGGTCAGGCTGGTCTCAAATTCCTGACCTCATGATCCACCTGCCTCGGCCTCCCAAAGTGCTGGGATTACAGGCATAAGCCACTGCACCTGGTCCGTTTTGCTCATTCTTTTGTGGCCATTACAATGCCAGGACCTCAACATAATCCCCATGTCTTAACCTCATCATCCTGGTTTTGAGATAAACTTTGCTGCAGATACATGGAGACCCTTTTGATAAGAATGCTTCTCAAAACACTAAAAATAAGCTAGAATGCTCAACTTCATCAAACAAGTTTCTGGCTCCTCCACATTAAAAAAGTGACCAGGCGCCCCTCACCCATGTCTAGTGCCTCAACCATGACATGACCTTATGTTTAGTTTTCCTATTTTAATAAGATTTATTGATTTTGTTTTTTGTTTTTGTTTGAGATGGAGTCTCACTCTGTCATGCAGGCTAGAGTGCAATGGCACAATCTCGGCTCACTGCAACCTCCGCCTCCCAAGTTCAAGCGATTCTCCTGCCTCAGCCTCCCAAGTGGCTGGGATTACAGGAGCCCACCACCAGGCCTGGCTAATTTTTTGTATTTAGTAGTGATGGGGTTTCACCATGTTAGTCAGGCTGGTTTTGAACTCCTGACCTCAGGTGATCCACCCCACCTTGGCCTCCCAAAATGCTGGGATTACAGGCATGAACCATCATGCCCAGCCTTTAATAAGATTTTTTTTTTTTTTTTTTGAGTCGGGGTTTCACTCTTGTCACCCAGGCTGGAGTGCAGCAGCGCAATATCGGCTCACTGCAACCTCTGCCTCCCAGGTTCAAGCAATTCTCCTGCCTCAGCCTCCCAAGTAGCTGGGATTACAAGCGCCCGCAACCACGCCCAGTTAATTTTTGTATTTCTAGTAGAGACGGGTTTTGCCATGTTGGCCAGGCTTGTCTTGAACTCCTGACCTCAGGTGATCCACCACCTCAGCCTCCCAAAGTGCTGGGATTACAGGCATGAGCCACCACACCCGGCCGATAAGGTTTAGTAAGAAAACCCACTCAGCATTTTCATCTCTGAAAGGAAGGTAACTTGGAGTGACACAGAAGAGCTTGAAACCCTCCTTTATGTTAGCAAGCATTGCACCAACATTTTCTTGCAAAGAGATGTGTTTCCTGCCCACTCAAACACTAATTTTAAGATAATTGAGATTTACGCCCTTGATTATTAAGAAAATTGAACTCTGTAAAATGACAATGTAATACAGTACTATCCTAATGGTTAAGTTTTCTGTTTGTAGTTTATGGTCCTCAGGGACACATACCACTAATTTGGCTGAAATTTTTCTATCTCTGAAGTAACCTTAGCAACAGGATAGTGCCAAAGAGTGGTATTTCTACTGACACACTTTTTCCATTTGATTAGAATGTTTATTTTAGGTTCACAATAAAATGGAAGTGGTGGTAATGGCCATGACCTCTAGGGAAAGCTTGATTTTTTCATTTTAGTCTCCTGTCTTCATGTCACTTTCTCTGCCTCTCCCCTTTGGAACCTTCAGAAATGGAGAATTTGTGTCATTGACTTCTACTCAGTGAGCTACAAGCTTTTGGGAGAGCTTCAGACTTGCTACAATGGGTTGAAAATCCAAATACCTTGCTAGCATTAGCCCAGTTTTGTCACCATAAGCACCTAAAGTGACTGAGCCTGCAGTGACTATACCCTCCAGTTTCCTGAGTGGGGCTGAAGAGATAGCCCCACTTCTGAATAGAGCTCAGAACTGGGGGGCCTGTTCTTCTCTGTAAGACCTCTGAACTTGACCACATCCATCTGGTTCAGGTGATGTGTCTGAAGACCCAACCCAGGACCCAAGGCTGTGAAGCTCAGTGCTCAATTCTACCACCTTGTCCATCAGACATCTGCCCCAGAAAGAAGCATGTCCTGGCTGGAGATGGAAGTGGAACCATGAAAGGGGTGAGTTGGTGCCAGCTGCTTATTTTTTCCACAATATTCCATGAATGGGCTTCCCCTCACCCCACTTTTGTTTTTAAAGTTCTTGTCTTAATCATTCACTATGGAGCTGGGTTAAAATTCTATTTACTACAGTATCTGCTATACTTTTTTTTCTTTTTATATTTTAACATTTCTGAATTCTTGAAGTGCTTAAAAATGAACATGTCCATTGATATAGTATTTCTTTCTTTCCTAAAAGGCTGCTATTAAATCAAGGAATGCCTTATAATCTACCATCTTAAAATGGCTGAAATCATATCTTCTTCTGACTAACCTCAGAGCCATCTGGATCAACACCCAAAGCTCTGCTTATCTCCGAGGATGTTTATGCCTTCCACAATCCTATGAGAAATTCACTCAACCACTCTATAAATTCAATCTGACAGTTGGACTCTATGCCCAATCCAGCTCCCTCCATCCTCCAAAATCTCAGCAAACACGGGCCATTTCAACACCCTATTAGGGTAGCTTACAGTCCTGAGCTCTTGTCATATCTTGTTTCCTCTGGCAGTGTTCCCCTACCCCCACCTGTTTGTTCTGTGGTTCCTGTGAGTCAGTAAATGCACTTCATCTCTGCTGAATATCCATTACCTGTCAGATGTTCTGCTGAGTATTTCTAGGCATGGAGAAAGAATAACTTCATTGAACTTTTTTAAACTTATTTTTGATGTTTTCTCTTGATTTTATTTTAAGTTGACATGACTGGGGTATTATAATCTCTACAGCATGTATAACCTCTTAAGAACACCTCTTAAGTCTTACCCTCTGTCTTTTGCCTGTTGCCAAATTTTCACGACATCTCCAGTTATAACCTCTGGGGGCACTCACCGTTAGCCACATCTCAACCACACAGCCTTTGCTGACCTCCTGCTTGGCTTTCCCCTACTTCCTACTGATGGGTCACCACAGCCCCATCCTTGGCTTTGTGCTGTTGGATTTCCAGAACCCACACTGGCCATCTCACTGTGGACAGCCTTGTTTATAAGGCTCACTCATTGTTTCATGAGTTAGCTGAGGTAGGGGGGCCTCAGTATAGGGGATCAAAAGCACAGATATAATTCACAAGAATGGGGTCATATTTGGGTAGGCTATTATTTCTCTGAACTTTAGTTTCATCTATAAAATGAAGATAACAGTAGTAACTACCATTAGCATTATAGGAGGATAAGAATACATAACTAGTTGAACACATATTCTTTTTATTATTATTATTACTATATTTTAAGTTCTAGGGTACATGTGCACAACGTGCAGGTTTGATACATAGGTATACATGTGCCATGTTGGTTTGCTGCACCCATCAACTCATCATTTAAGTATTTCTCCTAATGCTATCCCTCCCCCAGCCCCCCAGCCCCTGGCAGGCCCTGGTGTGTGGTGTTCCCTGCCCTGTGTCCAAGTGATCTCATTGTTCAATTCCCACCTATGAGTGAGAACATGTGGTGTTTGGTTTTCTGTCCTTCCGATAGTTTGCTGAGAATGATGGTTTCCAGCTTCATCCATGTCCCTGCAAAGGACATCAATTCATCCCTTTTTATGGCTGCATAGTATTCTATTGTGTATATGTGCCACAGTTTCTTAATCCAGTCTATCATTGATGGACATTTGGGTCGGTTCCAAGTTTTTGCTATTGTGAATAGTGCTGCAATAAACATACATGTGCACGTGTCTTCATAGTAGCATGATTTATAATCCTTTCGGTATATACCCAGTAATGGGATTGCTGGGTCAAATGGTAATTCTAGTTCTAGATCCTTGAAGAATAGCCACACTGTCTTCCACAATAGTTTAACTAATTTACACTCCCACCAACAGTGTAAAAAGCAAATAGTTAAACACATTTTCTGTCATACTAAATACTCTATGTTTTAATCAGTAGCAATGATTAACAGCTATTATTAGGTGATTTGCCCAAACACAGAGAGCAAGCAGGTGATAAAATTCTAAGCCACCAACTTTCCCTGGTTCATTTCAGAACTGATCCGGTAGTGTTGATCTGTTGCCCAACATAGAAAGCTCTCAGTCTTGGAACCCACTGATCACTGTGGCACAACATGGATTTTTCAAGGGCAAGCTCTGGGTCCCCCTTCCCTTTCTCAGGAGAAAAGTTGTCATGAGAAAGAGTAATAAAACTTACCTTGTATTGGTCATACTGAGGACAACTTGCATCTATTGAAGGAAAACAGAAAGTGGCTTAAGAAAACAAGAAAGTTCTAATCATCTGTGCTAAAAGACAAAGGAACAGATTGCTGTGGAAGATGAGTCCTCTGTCACTCAAGGTGTTCAAGGCAGACCAGATGCTGTAGAAGGATTGAGAACTGACCGCCCAATCCTTATGCTTCTTTCCAACTCCGAGTTTCTAATATGTAGAAAAAGGCAACCTCTCAGGATTCATTCATTCATTCATTCATTCAGCCTTAACTATCAAAAAAATACGTGACTCCAAGTGGTGATTTGGTTTGGAGATGTCAAAAACACTTTTTTTTCCAAACCATTGCAGATGGTCTCTGTCTCAAACACCAGAAATTAAACTATGATTTGTATAGTGTTAGAGAATAAAAGGACTTTTCTCTGAATGGCCAAAGCATAAAAGCCTAGTGAGTTCATTCTTCATTTATTTATTTCTGGTGTGATCGACAATAAGTTCAATTTATGACTATAACTGTTTTCTGCATTAGCCTTGTTTTAAGTCTTTTTATCATTATCAAAGTCAGACATGCCTCACAAAACTTGATGTCTATACAAATTCTTCAGATGGGTAAAGACAATCATAAAACAGCTTAACAAAAGAATTTGCATATTTTTACATTGCATAGAAATAGATATATTATAAAAGAAAATTATTACTTATGATAGAGTAGAGAAATGATTAAACTTAATTCTACCTGGATTTTTCTCTTTGGTTCATGGGTCAGTCCAACAAGGCTTTTTGTTTAGTTCATTGGATCATAAACAGAGCTTCCACAGTGGAACAAGAAAAGATTTTCAGCACGTTTCCCAAAACTAAAGTACTTTCATGGCTAAAAGATTGGCATTGTGGTTTCCTTTCATTAAAAGCTGATTCCATTATTAAAGGATAATCAGATATCTAATTTCAAGGGGTTTTTTTTCTTTTTCAAAGAACAGGTTTGTTGGCAGATGCTGTTACTGTCCTCCAAGATCCCTCTCCCTTTCTTTCATAAATACTAGAATCTGAATTTATCTGTATTCTTGGCCCCCAAGAATGAGACAAACTGCCCAGCCTCCTCACAGTTAGGCATGACTGTGTGACTAACTCCTTCTGAGGTGATGGGAGAGGCAATGATTGGTTCAGCTTTCAGCTTGTGCCTTGAAGGAAAGGCTCAAACCCACCTTCTCCTCTTCTCCTTTGCTGCTGGATGGAATGCCAGGAGCTAAGGCAGCCGTCTTAGACTGCAAGGTGCAAGTCATGAGTAAGAAGAACAAAGCAACAAGCCAAAGTCCCTAAGAAGACCTCCAAAGCCCTACACAACCTTGCATAACCTCTGTTACCTCCACTCCCCCATCTCCCCATTGATCACTCCACTACAGCCACACTGGCCTCTCTGCTGTTCCTGCACAAGCCAGACATGATTTTACCATAGGGTCTTTGCACTTGCTAGACACTCTTTCCCCAGGTAACCACATGGCTCACTCTCTCACTCTCTCCAGGTCTTTACTCAAACACCATCATCCCAGTAAGATATTCTCTAACAGTGGTGACTGGCAAGATGGCCAAATAGAAACAGCTCCAGTCTGCAGCTCCCAGCGAGATCAATGCAGAAGACAGGTGATTTCTGCATTTCCAACTGAGATACCTGGCTCTTCTCACTGGGACTGGTTAAACAGTGGGTGGCAGTCCACAGAGGGCAAGCAGAAGCAGGGTAGGATGTCGCCTCACCTGGGAAACGCAAGGGGTCAGAGAACTCCCTCCCCTAGCCAAGGGAAGACCTGAGGGACTGTGCCATAAGGAACGGTGCATTCCAGCCCAGATACTACTCTTTTCCCATGGTCTTCACAACCCACAGACCAGGAGATTCCCTCGGGTTCCTATAATACCAGGGCCCTGGGTTTCAAGCACAAAACTGGGTGGCCACTTGGGCAGACACCTAACTAGCTGCAGGAGGATTTTTTCATACCTCAGTGGCACCTGGAACACCAGCAAGACAGAACCATTCACTCCCCTGGGAAGGGGGCTGAAGCCAGGGAGCCATGTAGTCTAGCTCAGGAGATCCCACCCCTACGGAGCCCAGTAAGCTAAGATCCACTAGCTTGAAATCCTTGCTGCCAGCACAGCAGTCTGAAGTCAACCTGGGACACTTGAGCTTAGTGTGGGGAGGGGTGTCCACCATTACTGAGGCTTCAGTAGGCAGTTTTCCCCTCACAGTATAAACAAAGCCACCAGGAAGTTCGGACTGGGCAGAGCCCACCACAGTGCCACAAAGCCACTGCAGCCAGACTGCCCCTCTAGATTCCTCCTTCTGGGCAGGGCGTCTCTGAAAGAATGGCAGCAGACCCAGTCAGGGCCTTATAGATAAAACTCCCATCTCTGTGGGACAGAGCACCTAGGGGAAGGGGCTCAGCTTTGGCAGACTTAAACATTCCTACGTGCTGGCTCTGAAGAAAGCAGTGGATCTCCCAGCACAGCACTTGAGCTCTGCTAAGGGACAGACTGCCTCCTCAAGTGGGTCCCTGACCCCTGTGCCCCCTTACTGGGAGACACCTCCCAGCAGGGGTTGACAGACACCTCATAAAGGAGAGCTCTGGCTGGCATCTGGCAGGTGCCCCACTGGGATGAAGCTTTCAGAGGAAGGAACAGGCAGCAATCTTTGCTGTTCTGCAGCCTTCGCTGCTGATACCCAGGCAAACATGGTCTGGAGTGTACCTCTAGCAAACTCCAACAGACCTGCATCAGAGGGGCCTGACTGTTAGAAGGAAAACTAACAAACAGAAAGGAATAGCATCAAGATAAAAAAAAAAGGACATCCACACAGAAACCCCATCTGAAGGTCACCATCATCAAAGAACAAAGTAGATAAATCCATGAAGATGAGGAAAAACCAGCAAAAAAAGGCTGAAAATTCCAAAAACCAGAATGCCTCTTCTCCTCCAAAGGATCATGACTCCTCACCACTAAGGGAACAAAATTGGATGGAGAATGAGTTTGACGAATTGACAGAAGTAGGCTTCAGAAGATGGGTAATAACAAACTCCTCTAAGCTAAAGGAGCATGTTCTAACCAAATGCAAGGAAGCTAAGAACGCTGAAAAAAGGTTAGAGGAATTGCTAACTAGAATAACCAGTTTAGAGAAGAACATGAATGACCTGATGGAGTTGAATAACACAGTATGAGAATTTTGTGAAGCATACACAAGTATCAATAGCTGAATTGATCAAGTGGAAGAAAGAATATTGGAGACTGAAGATCAATTTAATGAAATAAAACGTGAACACAAGATGAGAGAAAAAAGAATGAAAAGAAATGAACGAAGCCTCCAAGAAATATGGCACTATGTGAAAAGACCAAACCTATGTTTGATTGGTGTACCTGAAAGTGATGGGGAGAATGGAACCAAGTTGGAAAACACTCTTCAGAATCCTATCCAAGAGAACTTAACCAGCCCAGCAAGACAGGCCAACATTCAAATGCAGGAAATACAGAGAACACCACAAAGATACTCCTCGAGGAGAGGAAACCCAAGACACATAATCGTCAGATTCACCAAGGTTGAAATGAAGGAAAAAATGTTAACGGGAGCCAGAGAGAAAGGTCGGGTTACCCACAAAGGGAAGTCCATCAGACTAACAGTGGGTCTCTCAGCAGAAACCCCACAAGCCAGAAGAGAGTGAAGGCCAATATTCAACATTTCTAAAGAAAAAAATTTTCAACCCAGAATTTCATATCCAGCCAAACTAAGCTTCATAAGTGAAGGAGAAATAAAATTATTTATAGACAAGGAAATGCTGGGAGATTTTGCCACCGCCAGGCCTGCCTTATAAGAGCTCCTGAAGGAAGCACTAAATATGAAAAGGAAAAACCAGTACCAGCCACTGCAAAAACATACCAAACTGTAAACACCATTGACACTATGAAGAAACTGCATCAACTAATGGGCAAAATAAACAGCTAGCATTATAATGACAGGATCCAATTCACACATGACAATATTAACCTTAAATGTAAATGGGCTAAATGCCCCAATTAAAAGACACAGACTGGCAAAATTGGATAAAGAGTCAAGACCCATCAGTGTGCTGTATTCAGGAGACCCATCTCACATGCAAAGACACACGTAGGCTCAAAATAAAGGGATGGAGGAAGATTTACCAAGCAAATGGAAAGCAAAAAAAAATAGGGGTTGCAATCCTAGTCTCTGATAAAACAAACTTTAAACCAACAAAGATCAAAAAAGACAAAGAAGAGCATTATATAATGGTAAAAGGATCAATTCAACAAGAAGAGCTAACTGTCCTAAATATATATGCACCCAATACATGAGCACCCAGATTCATAAAGCAAGTCCTTAGAGATGTACAAAGAGACTTAGACTCCCACACAGTAATAGTGGGAGAATTTAACACCCCACTGTCAATATTGGACAGATCAATGAGACAGAAAATTAACAAGGATACTCAGGGCTTGAACTCAGCTCTGAACCAAGCAGACCTAATAGACATCTACAGAACTCTCCACCCCAAATCAACATAATATACATTCTTCTCAGCACCACATCGCACTTATTCTAAAATCGACCACATAATTAGAAGTAAAAAACTCCTTAGCAAATGGAAAAGAACAGAAATTATAACAATCTCTCAGACCACAGTGCAATCAAATTAGAACTCAGAATTAAGACACTCACTCAAAACTGCACAACTACATGGAAACCGAACAACCTGCTCCTGAATGACTACTGGGTAAATAATGAATTTAAGGCAGAAATAAGTAAGTTCTTTGAAACCAATGAGAACAAAGATACAATGTACCAGAATCTCTGGGACACAGCTAAAGCAGTGTTTAGAGGGAAATTTATAGCACTAAATTGCCCACAGGAGAAAATGGGGAAGATCTGAAATCAATACCCTAAGATCACAATTAAAAGAACTAGAGAAGCAAGAGCAAACAAATTCAAAAGCTAGCAGAAGACAAGAAATAACTAAGATCAGAGCAGAACTGAAAGAGATAGAGACATGAAAAACCCTTCAAAAAAATCAATGAATCCAGGTGTTAGTTTTTTGAAAAGATTAACAAAGTAGACAGACCACTAGCCAGACTAATAAAGAAGAAGAGGAAAGAATCAAATAGACACAATGAAACATGATAAAGGGGATATCACCATTGATCCCACAGAAATACAAACTACCATCAGAGAATACTATAAATACCTCTATGCAAATAAACTAGAAAATCTAGAAGAAATGGATAAAATTCCTAGACTTATACACCCTCCCAAGTCTAAACCAGGAAGAAGTCAAATCCCTGAATAGACCAATAACAAGTGTGAAATTGAAGCAGTAATTAATAGCCTACCAACCAACCAAAGCCCAGGACCAGATGGATTCACAGCAAAATTCTACCAGAGGTACAAAGAGAAGCTGGTATCATACCTTCTGAAATTATTCCAAACAATAGAAAAAGAGGGATTCCTCCCTAACTCATTTTATGAAGCCAGCATCATCCTGATATCAAAACCTGGCAGAGACACAACAAAAATATAAAATTTCAGGCCAGTATCCCTGCTGAACATTGAGGCATCAATAAAATACTGGCAAACCGAATCCAGCAGCACATCAAAAGCTTATCCACCACAATCAAGTCAGCGTCATTCCTGGGATGCTAGGATGGTTCAACATACGCAAATCAATAAACATAATCCATCATATAAACAGAACCAATGACAAAAAACACATGATTATCTCAATAGATACAGAAAAGACCTTTGATAAAATTCAACACCCCTTCACACTAAAAACTCTCAATAAACTAGGTATTGATGGAGCATATCTCAAAATATTAAGAGCTATTTATGACAAACCCACAGCCAATATCATACTGAATGGGCAAAAGCTGGAAGCATTCCCTTTGAAAATTGGCAAAAGACAAGGATGCCCTTTCTCACCACTCCTTTTCATCATAGTACTGGAAGTTCTGGTAAGGGTAATCAGGGAAAAGAAAGAAATAAAGGGTATTTAAATAGGAAGAGAGGAAATCAAATCGTCTGTTTACAGATTACATGATTGAATATTTAGAAAACCCCGTCGTCTCAGCCCAAAATCTCCTTAAGCTAATAAGCAACTTCAGCAAAGTCTCAGGATACAAAATCAATGTGCAAAAATTACAAGCATTCCTATACGCCAGTAATAGACAAACAGAGAGCCAAATCATGAGTGAACTCCCATTCACAATTGCTACAAAAAGAATAAAATACCTAGGAATACAACTTACAAGGGATGTGAAGGACCTCTTCAAGGAGAACTACAAACCACTGCTCAAGGAAATAAGAAAGGACACAACCAAATGGAAATACATTCCATGCTCGTGAATAGGAAGAATCAGTTTTGTGAAAATGGTCATACTGCCCAAAGTAATTTATAAGATTCAATGCTATACCCATCAAGCTACTATTGACTTTCTTCACAGAATTAGAAAAAACTACTTTAAATTTCATATGGAACCAAAAAACAGCCTGTATAGCCAAGACAATTCTAAGCAAAAAGAACAAAGTTAGAGGCATCATGCTACCTGACTTCAAACTATACTACAAGCCTACGGTAACCAAAACAGCATGATACTGGTACCAAAACAGATATATAGACCAATGGAACAGAACAGGGGCCTCAGAAAAAATGCCACACATCTATAACAATCTGAGCTTTGACAAACCTGACAAAAACAAGCAATGGGGAAAGGATTCCCTATTTAATAAATGATGTTGGGAAAACTGGCTAGCCATATGCAGAAAACTGAAACTGGACCCCTTCTTTACATCTTATATAAAAATTAACTCAAGATGGATTAAAGACTTGAACGTAAGACCTAAAACCATAAAAACCCTAGAAGAAAACCTAGGCAATACCATTCAGGACACAGGCATGGGGAAAGACTTCATGACTAAAACACCAAAAGCACTGGCAATAAAAGCCAAACTTGACAAATGGGATCTAATTAAACTAAGGAGTTTCTGCACAGTAAAAGAAACTGTCATCAGAGTGAACAGGCAACCTACAGAATAGGAGAAAATTGCTGCAATCTATCCACCTGTCAAAGGGCTAATATCCAGAATCTACAAGGAACTTAAGCAAATTTACACACACACACACACACACACACACACACACAAACATCAAAAAGTGGGCAAAGGGTATCAGAAAAGGATATCAGATACTTCTCAAAAGAAGGTATTTATGCAGACAACAAACATGAAAAAGAGCTCATCGTCACTGGTCATTAGAGAAATGCAAATCAAAACCACAATGAAATACTATCTCACACCAGTTACAATGGCAATCATTAAAAAGTCAGGAAACAACAGATGCTGGAGAAGATGTGGAGAAATAGGAACACTTTTACACTGTTTGTGGGAGTATAAATTAGTTCAACCATTGTGGAAGACAGTGTGGCGATTCCTCAAGGATCTAGAACCAGAAATACCATTTGACCCAGCAATCTCATTATTGGTATATACCCAAAGGATTATAAATCATTCTATCATAAAGACACATGCACACGTATGTTTATTGCAGCACTGTTCACAATAGCAAAGACCTGAAACCAACCCAAATGCCCATCAATGATAGACTGGATAAAGAAAATGTGGCACATCTACACTATGGAATACTACATAGCCATAAAAAAGGATGAGTTCATGTCCTTTGCAGGGACATGGATGAAGCTGGAAACCGTCATTCTCACCAAACTAACTCAGGAACAGAAAACCAAACACCACATGTTCTCACTCATAAGTGGGAGTTGAACAATGAGAACACATGGACACAGGGCAGAGAACATCACACACCAGGGCCTGTCAGGGGGTGGGGGACTAGGGGAGGGATAGCATTAGGAGAAATACCTAATGTAGATGACGGGTTGATGGGTGCAGCAAACCACCATGGCACGTGTATATCTATGTAACAAACCTGCATGTTCTGCACATGTATCCCAGAACTTAAAGTATAATTTAAAAAAAAAAAAAAAAGAAAAAGAAAAGGTGAAGAAGCCTTACCTAGGGAAGGAGAGAGAACACTCTTCCAAACTGAGGGACTAGTACATGTCAAATCCCTGTTCTGGAGGAAGATTGGCATATAGAAGAGCCCACGGGAGGCCTATCAGCTGGAGCAGACAGTGGGAGTGCACATCCTGAGTGGCTGCAAAACTAGAGCTAAGGAGTTTTTATTTTTTCTCACAAACAACGCGAGCCCAAGAAGTGGTTTTTTTGTTGTTTTTGTTTTTGAGACAGTCTCACTCTGTCACCCAGGCTGGAGTGCAATGGCACAATCTTGGCTCACTGCAACCACTGCCTCCCGGGTTCAAGCGATTCTCCTGCCTCAGCCTCCTGAGTAGCTGACAAGAAATGTTTCAAGCAACAGAGTGACATGAAAGGTATCTGCCTCCTGGCTTTCAGAAACATCCGTGTAACCTTAGCACCTCTCTTCAGTAGAGATGCTCCCCCGAGACAAGGAAAGACTGGAAGCCTTCAGAACGGGGTCTCACTCCGTTATGAGTCTTTTATTCATTGCCTCACAAATTAGTCGCAAGAACTTGCCCTGCAGACAAGGGGATGCAAATGCAAGTGACACAGAATTGTAATAACATAAACATTAGGAAACAATGCAAACCAGTTGGGCCCCCTGCAGAGAAATAATTCCCCCGCACTCCTTTTCAAATTGTCTTCATGAAAATTTCATAAAATTTGCCATTATTAAAACTGAGTAGCAATTATTTCTTTCTTTGGTTCATCAGTTGTGGGAGAAAAATTAATTGTGTTCTCCTTCTTTTCTGGAGTTCATCAGACAGCAATAAGGCAACAAGGATTGACAGGACTGGAGGCAGGAGAACTTGGGGGGGTGTTATCACAGATGTGGCATGAGAGGCAGGAGCGGGTATGAGAGTGGTCGCGGCAGATGCGGCCCCGGCTAACAAGTGTGCTCAGGAAGCCCAAGTCATTACGGTGTGTTGACATAACATTTGCCAGCTTCACAGGGGCCATCATTGTAAATTAGATTTAATATTGATCAGGCCCTTCACAATCAGGGCCAGGAGAAAATTGGACACAGAGTTCTTAGTCAAAATTGGCTCTTAAGATTCTGCTTTCTAATTAACATAGAAGAACAGAAATCCAGGGCCTATCTGTCTGACCCAGCGTGGCATAACCGCTTTCCTGGTCTCTGAGGGCAGTGGAGAGGTGACAGCGATTCCCACTGTCTATTTTCTGTCCCAGGTTGGTTCTGTGTTGCAGCAGAGGAGGAAGAGAGCATGAGAGGTGAGCTGTGGCGAAGGGGATGGAGGATTTCAGGGTGCAGATGGCTGTGATTCTCCTCTCAGTCTTCACCTCAGAAAGCCAAAAACCTTTATTGAAAGAAATCTGGTTTGCCTTTAGGTTTTTCTTTAAAAAAAAAAAAAAAAAAGAAAGAAAGAAAAAGAGAGAAAGAGAGAAAGAGAGAAAGAAAGAAGAAAGAAAGAGAGAAAGAGAGAAAGAGAGAGAGAGAGAGAGGGAAAGAGGGAGGGAGGGAGGGAGGGAGGGAGGGAGGAAGGAAGGAAGGAAGGAAGTAAGTAAGGAAGGAAGGAAGGAAGGAAGGAAGAAAGAGAAAGAAAGAAAGAAAGGAAAGAAAAGAAAAGAAAGAAAGAAAGAAAGAAAGAAAGAAAGAAAGGAAGGAAGAAAGAGAAAAAGAAAGAAAGAAATATTTTTTAAAAGTTCATTCAGGGTTAGGAGTTTAAAGAAGTTACCAGTAAAACTCCCAACCAATACTGGCTTCCGTTGACCCCTCACAAAACTTTGCAGTGGAGGAGCATGAGTGTGAAATCCTGGCTTTGGCACCTGAGGCTGTCTGACCTAGGGACAATGACTTGCTATCTCTGAACTTCAATTTCTTCCTCTATAAAATGGAAATAATAATACTACCTACTTCAAAGAGTTTCTGTGAAGGATAAATAGAATAATGCATTTATGGCTGGGCGTGGTGGCTCATGTCTGTAATCCCAGCACTTTGGGAGGCTGAGGCAGGTGATCACTTGAGGTCAGAAGTTCAAGACCAGCCTGGCCAACATGGTAAAACCCCATCTCTACTAAAAATACAAAATGTAGGTGTGGTGGTACACACCTATAATCCCAGCTACTCGGGAGGCTGAGGCAGGAGAATCATTTGAACCCAGGAGGTGGAGGTTACAGTGAGTGAGATCACACCACTGCACTCCAGCTTGGGGAACAGAGCAAGACTGTCCTGTCTCAAAAATAATAAATAAATAAAAGAATAATATATTTAGGATACATTAAGCAAATATCAGCTATATTTATCATTATATGTGTATTCTTACCATTGTTATCATGCTTTGTTCTATTAGATGATATTACCGACACTAATAACAACAACAGGATCAAGACATCTAGTTTTTTACTTTGGAAACTGACTGGCCAGGACAATTCCAAAGCAAGTAACAGAAAGTGGCCCCTCAGTACATTCTAGACATTAATGCTTCTCTCTTCCAACTTCAGTCCCAATCTGGAGGCCTTGAACTTCAAGTTTCCCTTTTTTTTTTTTTTTTTTTTTACATCCTTGTGAGCTTCAGTCAGACCTAATACTTCCCAGCACTTACTGTGACCTTTCATGGACTTCCCAGGCAGGGAAGTTACTAGAGGCAGAGATGATGTCTCATTCATCTTTAGACCTCTGACACCTTACATAGAATTTGGCCCATAAAAGCAGGCCCCAAACGAGGGTAAGACAAGTGAGGCTCCCTAGGCATAAAATCTAGGGAGGCGATCAGTCTCAGGCACCAACTCGACACTTTCATAACCCTGAGAGTTAGTGTTTCCTTAAATCTTGTTCCCTAGGAGCCTTGCCTGCCTTGCCTGGTCCTGACTTTGCTTAGAACAGATACTTCATCAAAATGACATGAATAACTGAATGAAGGAAGCACAGAATCCCCCAACTGTTCTCTCATCCAAAGCCCCAGCCCTGGGCCCACAGACATGACTGCAACCTTTGCCAGCCTCGGTACTCATGGGAAGATTCTGAGACCAGAAAAATCTTAGGAACGTGCTTTATCAAAAGTCAATGCCAAAAGTAGCCATTTTTGAAAATCTAAACAGCAGTTCAGGTTTATCTCACCTGCGAAAAGTTCTTCCTCCAAGTTTCATGGAGTTATTGGTTTTCAGAATTAATTGCAAAACTCAAATCCAGCCAGAAACATCTGCTGCCCTTACATATAAGGCTAACCAGGGAACTGAAAGAAACAGGTCCCAGGGCTCAGTTTCCCATTTATTAATTTATAAACCCTGCTTCCGCCTGCTCCCTCGAATGATTTCCAGGAAGAGTCAATCAGCCCTATGCTCCTGTGGGATTTTATTCTCTGTCCCCCAGGAGCATTTCTTGCACAACAGACATCTTTCTGTAAGAAAAAAAAAATTGTATTTCCCTTTGACTGTAACCCTTCATTCAATTCCAGCCTCCTCCTTCAAGTCCATTAGATTTCTTCCCTTGGAGACATGGGCCTCCAATCCATCCCTCGTTTCCCATTTTAGTGGAATTATCTGCCCTTAGACACAAAACTGCAACCATGAAATTTGTTTCCAGTGTAAGATCATGTGTTAAAAATTTTTAGTATTTTATCAGAAGTACAATGCACATGATTAAATGTGCATATATGAAAAAACATCTAGACGATGATAAACCACAAAAATCTCAACCATTTATTGTGCATTTGCTATGTGCCAGACCTTATTTCAGTTTGTCCTGCCACTGATGAACTCAGTTTTTGCTCCTATAAAATGTGCTGTGTGTTGGGTTCATGACTACACCAAATGTCATGCTCAGGGTCAGGTTTGAGCCCATGCTGCAGTCCCAGGGGAGTGGGTGGATGGGCAATAGCTGAAAGAACACCCACGGGGCTGTAGGCAGGTGAAATGTGGTTTTATTCAGCAGCTCTCTCCTCAGCAGCTCTCTCCTCAGCAGCTCTCTTATCAGCAGCTTTCTCACACTGTCTGCCTCTGTCTCAGCAGCCTGCTCCGGCTTGGCTTCTCTCAGCAGTCAGCTCCCACACACCGCTGCACAGCCAGCCTGTGAGGCCAGCTCTCCATTATAGTGTTAGCAGCTTAAATCTTCCCCTCTCTGGGCACGAGCTGGTTCCTGGCTCCCCACTGTATGTCTGCCAGTTGATCATTCTCCCTTACAGGGGTCAGTAGCTCTGCTCTCTCTCTCTGTGTGCCAGGGCTGCACAAGAGCCATGCCATGCCATGCTGTGCCATGCTGAACCAAGCCAAGCCATGCCCAAGAGCCCTGTGCACAGCGTCAGCAGGGCAGTTATACCTTCTACAGACAATAGTGGCATAGAGCCAAGTATGAGCTTACACAAACAGATTATATAACAAGTGGAGTATGCGTCTGTGCCCTAAACTCACTGAGTCACTCTGGCCGGGATGTCTGCCTCGGCCTATCCTTGACCAAAGCATATCCATGTAGCTTACACTGTGTGATAAACCTTCTCTAAATTTGAAGGCATGCATTGCAGGGCTACTCTGATGCTCTTAGGAGCTGGGGCCTGACTTAGTTATACATTGGAGTGGATATCTTATTTTTTCCTACTTGGCATCCATTCCCCTGTTTTTGGAAACAATGCCACAATTTTCCTTCAGAAACCACCTATCTCAGGCCATGTACACTGGGTGGAACAGAGCCTTCTATGGTGTCAGAGGTGAGTACGGGCCTTAAGTCTGGCCAGTCAGAATGGTGCCACATCTTCCTACCCCCTGTGATTGTCCCAGCTTGTGCATGCAGTTGGAGCCAGAATGGTGGCAACGCAGTTCCAGCCCACTAGCTGGAATTACCAGAGAAGAGATTCTTTTTCTGCACAGGATGACAACAAGCTAGGTGTTGCTGTGTGGCCACTTTACCAACATGCAGACTTTACCAACATGCAGAAAGACCCTGCCTGCAGAAAGCAGACCTGGCGCTGGGAGAGAAAGATTCCTAAACACCTTGTGTGCACTTCTGGAGCCATCTGTGCCAGAAATTGGACTTCTAAATTACAGAAAACAATTTATTTTTACCTAAGCCAATATGTGACATAGGAGACGCTCATCCACAATAGTCACTGAAGCAGTGATTTAAATCAGTTAAAGAGTGGTGACTTCCATAACAACCCAACACCTTGGCCCAGACCAGTTACTGCCCCTGTGTTCACCATCATTTGTTGGTCGTGCACCCATGTGATCAGTCCAAACTGACCCTAAAACAAGCTGCTGCCTATTTCTTCATTAACTATCCTTAAGTATGTGGAGGTGGGGTCAGGTGGATCCCATCTTCTTCCACAGAGAAAAACTTCGGCACAGAGAACATCAGGTGATTGATTATTACCTCCTGCTGGGATTGACCTGCATATAGAAACCAAGATTTTTCCACCTCCAGTTAAATACTCCAGTGGCAAGAGCAGGGGTGTTCTATTTTGCACTCCAGAATGGTTGAGATTAGGTGAGCTGCACCTTCACACCCAGGAGCTGCAGAGGCTAATGAAAGCTGAAATGAGCCAGGGGCCGGCATGCTGAGCGAGAGGAAATGGATGGACTGGAGAGAGTGGCTGCTGCAGGGAGCCCCTCCCAGGCAACCATCGCTAATTGTATGAGCAATAGCTGACACCATGGGAGGCTGGAGGCTTGGCAGAAGTCGAATGTTGCCTAAATGAGACCACCTCGAGTTTTTAAACTTCACACTTGGTCAATAAGACCTGATCAGCCCATGGACAGGGGGCAATGCTAAAATGGCGTTTACATAAATATTCAGCCCATAGAGCAGATTCCACTAGAAAGTTCCAGAAGCCCATGATAGCAAAGGGCACAAGGCCACTCCTAAAGGACCTGCAGGCAGACTTAGTTCAGCCTTTTATAAGGTATCTATCAGATTTCTGGTTCTATTTAGGTCCTTCTTTACATGTATGTCTTTTCTTTCTCTTTGCTTCTTCGAACTGAGGCATCTCTGCTGAACAGTGTTAGTAAGAAGCAATGCTGGATCGAGTAACACATTTTTAATGATGTGAAACAAAGCTTTAATCACCATAGTTTTTTACAAAATAACGTCTTCTTTGCATTTGGTTTAATAGCACTTTGTCCACAGCTTTCATCAAAACAACTGCCCATGTGACTGATTGGGAAATTGTATTAAATGTCAGAAGATCTCCCCAGACTCATAAAGTGCTTCCTTGCCAATCAGGATTTTAATTTTGGATGGGGAAATAATAAATACAATAATTATTGAACACTGTGACATTAACTGATAAAGATACCTGCTTTCCTTGAATTATCAATTTCACATTGGCATAAAAAATAGATTAGTGACAATTTAATCCTACATCTGGTGACCTTTAAATAATGCTATTAACACTCCTCAGCTTTGTCACTAGAATGTCATCAGCCTTCTCTCTAAAAGAAATGCTACCTAAATATTCCATTTTAGAACTGTCTCCAAAGTTTGCTAATGTTCAGTATCTAATAACAAATCTAGACGAGTATAAAAGACCCAGACACACCAGGTGACTTTGCCAGCAGCAATTTTTTAAATAATTCTATCATAACTTACCACATGAGAGGAGATTAGCTAGAGTCAAAAACTCCTAGAACCATAATGTACTTTGTGTCCACACAGACATCTGCTCACTGTCATGCCCTCTTGCTGGGCAGGTATATTGGTACCAGCATTGAGAGGTCAATTGGCCAAATCCATCAAGATTTCAAATGCATACCCCTTCAACTCAGTGATTCTACTTCTAGAACCCTTCTCCTATGGGTATATTTATTTATCCATGGGCACAAAAGACTGTCCATTGCAGCATTGCTTGTAATATCAAACATATTTTAAAATTATAAACAACCTTAATTTCCATTAAAAGAGGAATTATTAAAAACATTGATACATCTGTAAAATTGTGTTTTATGCAGCCGCTAACAAAGAATGAGCTTCCCAATGCAATGACATGGTAAGTTCTTCATGCTATATTGTAAGTGGAAGAAAGCAGGCTGCAGAACGGCACTTAGATTTTTGTCTGAAAATTGAGAGGGTCATAATATCACCCTCCCCTTAGAGGTGTTGGAAGGAGGGAATGGGTTCCCGATGCCGAGTATTCAGAACCAGGCTTGCTCCAGCAATTCTGTCACATCATCAAAGTTTCTCTCTCTACTGGATTATTTTCAACAGATGAAAATGCTGCTTTTCTTCCATGTAATAAACAAACATTCTCCTAACCCCACTTTCCCCACTGCCTGTTCTCCCCTTGCTCTCTTTATTTTCCTCAGAAGCAAACCCCTTGAACCTTCTGTTTCTATTCACTACTATCTTTGATTCCTCTCTAAAGCCCACTCTGACCCAGATTTCAGTTCATACTCTTCCATGTCTGCTCTCTCAACACCTCCATTGGCCTGCCGGGCAGCTCTTGGTCCTCCTCTCATTTGACCTGTCAAGGTCTCACCCAGTCATCACCCTTCCTGCTCTATTCACTGTCTTCACTTGGCAACCAGGACCCCACACCTTCTGAGCTCTTCTCTTACCTCACTGCTTGCTCCTTCTGTTTCCCTTGCTAGTTCCTCTTCTTCTCCCTAACTGTTCGAGATTGGAGTGCCCTGAAATGCAGTTCTGAGACCTCTTCTGTCACTGCACTCACTCCTCTGGCAATCCCAGTCCATCTTAAACTCTTGACTTGCCACATAGATGCCCTCAGCTCCCAAATACGTACCTCCAGCCTAGGTCTCTCCCTTGAACTCCTGACTCAAACTCTCAACTTCCCTTGGATGTTCAATTGACATCTTAATCTCAGCATGTTTAAAAACATATCCAGATGCAACCCCCACCCAGATGCTCTCCACTTCAGCTTGTCTCTTCTCAGCTGATGCTGATTCCATACTTCCAGTTACTCAAGCAAAACCTTTGGTTAGTTGTCCGTGATGCCCTCGTTTCTTTAGTACCCCACATCCAACCTATTAGGAAATATTATTGGGCTACTTCTAAAATACTAGGACCAGAATCCAACTATTTATCACTACTGCCCATGCTACCACTGTGATTCAAGCCACCACCATCTCTCACCTAAATGACTGCAATCGCCTTCAACCATCTACCTTTTCTCCAAAAGGACTATTCTCAATACAGCAATGAAAGTGACCTTGTGACTTCCAATTTTACTTAGCTTTAAAAACCAAAGTCCTCACGATGGTATACAAGGCCTTATATGATCAACTCACTCTTTCTGAGTCAACAATTACTCTCTGACTTCATATTCCTGTACCTGCTCCCCCATCCCACCCCTTACTCATTCTGCTTTCACCCAGCTGGCTTTCCTGTTATTTCTCAGTCATGCAGAGTCCTCAGGGTCTTTGCACTGGCCATTCCCTCTGCCTGGAACACTCTTCCCCAGACACCCACAGCCCATTTCCTCACCTCCTTCAAATCTTTGTTCAAGTGCCACCTTCTCAGTAAGGCCCACCTTGATCACCATATGCAAAATTACAAGATGTCCTCCTCCTGACACTCCTGATCCCATTTTCCTTGCTTTTTTCCTTCTCCCATAGCACTTATTCTCTTTAATCTACTGCATCATTTACTTATCTGCTCTATCAGTTGCTTATTGGCTATATCCCCTCTCCCCACTAAAACATAAACACCTAAGAGCAGGGATCTTTGTGACTTTTTGCTCACTGATGTATCCCAAGAACATTGAGCAATACATGGCACATAGTAGACACTCAATAAAAATTTGCTAAGGGCCAGATGCAGTGGCTCATGCCTGTAATCTCAGCATTTTGGGAGGCTGAGGGAGGCAAATCCCTTGAGCCCAGTAGTTCAAGACCAACCTGGGCAATGTGGTAAAACCCCATCTCTACAAAAAACAAAAAAAATACAAAAAGTTAGCCAGATGTGGTGATAGATGCCTGTAGTCCCAGCTACTCAAGAGGCTGAGATGGGAGGATTTCTTGGGCCCAGGAAGAGGTGGTTACAGTGAGCCATGATTATGCCACTGCACTCCAGCCTGGACAATAGAGTAAGACTCTGTCTCAAAAATAAAAAATTAAAAAAAATAATAATAAATAAAATATATATATATATATATATATAGCTGAACAAATGAGTGAATGGACATGATAAAATTAGCTAGTATTTATTAAGCACAGATATTCTTATAAGCACTCAACTAAGTACTTTGCATATATGATCTCATTTCATCCATGGTAGGAAGAGCAGGAAAGGCAGGTGATAGGGTGGGGAGTGAGGTACTACAGTTCCCATTCTCATGCTGAAGAAAACTGAAAAACCAGAAGATTAATAACTCACCAAGGTCACATTCTAGTATGCAGCAGAATGAATGAAGGGAAGGAAAGGAAGTTGAATGCAAATCTGCCTACCTACTAAAAAGGAGATCTTTTCCCTACTGCTCCTCTTAACACAACCAGTTAAAAGCTACATATCCGCTCAACATCTTGCTCTATCCTTTTTTTTTTTTTTTTTTTTAATCTTTAGACAGTCTCGCTCTGTCGCCCAGGCTGGAGTGCAGTGGCACAATCTCAGCTCACTGCAACCTCCGCCTCCTGGGTTCAAGCAATTCTCCTGCCTCAGCCTCCTGAGTAGCTGGGATTACAGGTGTGCGCCACCACACCTGGCTAATTTTTGTATTTTTTAAGTAAAGATGGGGTTTCACCATGTTGGTCAGGCTGGGCTCGAACTCCTGACATCGTGATCCATCCACCTCAGCCTCCCAAAGTGCTGGGATTACAGGCGTGAGCCACCGAGCCCAGCCACTCTATCCTTTTTTAGATTTCCACAATGCAAACTATTCAGATGAAGGTCACTCAACTGAATAGTGCTTTAACTTTATATACATAAAAATTAAGTGTGGTCTTAGGTAAAATGACAGATAAGGTCATAAGTGTTTATGTTTCTTTCAAGCCTTGTGACCTTATCATTAAGTTCCAAATAACCTTTTGTCTCTAGGAGTGGTAATTTGGTTTGTTTGTTTATACTGTGAGGATCTGTATCTCTCCCTTTGGCCCAACTTATTAGTTTTAGCCATAAGCAGCAATCAGTGAAACATGAGGTTTTGTTATGAGATAGTTAATTCCAGTTTGGAACTCGTTGGTATTTTGGGAAATTTTTAAAATGTCAGCACATTTGCTTTTGGATCTATGAATATTATTTTGTTCTGGAAGCTCCTATTTAATGTGTGAGATTAATATTAGTTAGGGCATTGCCAAAGAAGAACACACTATCTTAATATAATAGGCAAAAAACAATAATTTCTCCTCCATATACTAAACAAGCTCTGATTTTTTTAATTAACTGACAAAACATCTAGGATCTAAGTGGTAAAATTAAGTTGGAATGTTTTAAGGAGGAAATGCACAGATTTTTTGTAGAATTTTTCTAGGATCAGTGATGTTAATGTGAAGTACGAACTCATAATGCTGATTTGGAGACCTCAATGCATTAAAATGTTGGGTGACAAGGCAGATTCTGTGGATGCTCCACCCATATCCTTCCACGCCATACCTTTTCCTTACGTACCAGCTTGATTTCTAAAGGCTGGCATTTGCGTCCCCTGCCTAAGAATTTTCTTTGGCTTTCTATACCTTTTCTCCCCGAACACACAGAAGTGTCAGGAAATTTACACCTCTGGGAGCAGCCCTCAACTAAGGATAGGAATTGGTACATAAATACCCCAACTCCAAAACCCCACAGGATGACTCTGAGGTGCATGTCTTATACTGGCTTCTACCGTGGCCCGGGGATGTTCCAGGTTCTCACAGTGGTAACTTGCCTGACAATATATTCTTTATTAGCTGTGTCTCAATTCTCTACTCTCTAATCAGTGTACCCTGGGATCACCTTCCAAGTAATCTACTTGCATTTCCAGGAGACCAGAAACATGCCACCCCAAAATACGCCTCTTCTGGTGTAAGGATTATGATCTGAGACCATTCGAAGCAACAAATACAGGAAAGCTCTCTGTTCTCCCTCTATTTGCGTAAAAGCAGGACACAGATTTACAAAGACAAAAGATGTCCTGGCCCCCGTTTCTACCAGGAAGAACAAACGTTGGCCACTGAAGAACTTTAGACCCTTATCAGCCTAGAGATGGTACCAGAGGAATATCTATTAACCAGCTTTACTAACAAGCCTTTATCTGCCAGTTATTTGCCTTCCCCAAGTTGCTGCCCCCCAGAAACTCAAAATCCTTTCCTTTGTGTTGTTCCTTCTCTAAAAAGGTAACTGTTCTTTGTTGAAGATGTTACCTAAGCTGGAATTCAAAGCCACCTCTTTGAGAACTACTCATTTCCTGGGTGTCTCCCATCTACATAAAATATGTATGTTAATAAACTGTTTTTCTCTTATCTGTTACAGGGGTCTATTCCAACCAAGAAATTATGACGGTTGAAGAAACAATCATTTTTCTTTCCTACACATTTGAACTCTTATATCAGAATCTGCTTCAGAGAGAACCCAAACTGAGACAGCTGCCTTCATTTGGGGCTTAGCCGTAAGTCAGCCAAGGCTGTTATTCATTCCTTTTTCAGGGAATATTTTTAGAGCACCTATGACATTCCAGGCATTGTTCTTTTAGACATCCAGCAGCGACCAACTAAACAAAAATCTTTGCCTTCATGGAGTTTACATTCTCATGCAAGGAGACAATAAACTACGTAAAATATATTGTAAGGCAGATTTTGATAAGTAGAGGAAAATAAAGCCAAGCTAGATAGGGAATGCCAGTGGGTGAAGTGTGCCATTATAAACAGGTAGCCAGTGAAGGCCCAAACAAGGGGGTAAAATGTGAACAAAGACTTGAAGGGGTTGAAGAGCAATCCGGGAAGGAAGAGCATTAGTCTAGGTGGGAGGAAACAAGTGCAGAAGGGACAGGAATATTCCAAACCAGTAAGGTCACTGGGGCTGGAACAGAGTGAAGGAGAGGGAAAGTGACAGGATGAGTCATATCTACTATTGTTAGGATTTACTGTTGTTATTTTTGTCAATATTACTATTTAATAGGCTTCGTTTGTTTTAGCATTTTCTTATGAAAATTACAGAAAAGTTACCAATTTTTTACAGTGAACACCCATCTACTCACCACCTGGATTCTACTATTTTGCAATACTTCCTTTTCATGCATCCATCCCTCTATCCATCTCACTATCCATTTACCAAGCCATCGTTTTTAACGCATTTCAGAGTAAATTGCAGAGATTTAGCAAATGCAGCCATTATGGAGATACGGTTTCTAAACCTGACAGCATTGCAAGGTAGATACTATCTCCCCATTTTACAGAGAAAGAAACTGAGACGCAGACACGCTGAATAACTCAGCTAAGGCAGTAACACAAACACATGGCTGAGTGGGGATTCCAGTGCAGGTCTATTGATGGCAGTGCTCATATTCTTTCCATGGTGAACCAACTGCCACTCTCGAACAGCGGATTAATGTGGAAGAACAGGCAAGGAGTTGGGAGTAGCTATACTTGTCTCTGAAGGAAGCTGTTTCCTTTCACTATTTCCTCTGCATCTGAAAGGCAAAAACCCAGCGACGTGCTGGTAAATGTTTACCACCCAGCTCTTTGGATAGAGGTGCAGAGACAAGGAAAGCCTTGTTTGCAACATTTGCCAATTTCTGTGGCATTAACATTCCTACCATGGCAGGTTTCAACCTACCAACCTGATGTCAGGTTGCAAGCTGGTATGAGCTGGCACCAGCACACCACTGTGGATTTTTCAGTGTCATACTGTAGTTAACAAGTATCACTTGTAACAAGTAACAAGCACCAGATTCAGGATCAACACCCAGTGTCTATATCCAGTGAATGCTCAGTAAATTTCAGTGGTGGTGAGGACAAAGATTGGCAGCCTCCTACCCACACCCAGCATCAGATATCTGGGCACATGCATACATGCACACGCACACACACACACACACACACACACACACACACACACACGCTTTCTTCCCAAGGTGGATAGTAGTATATTTGAATAATGAATACAGGACACTACATATAGCACATTTGTGTAAAGCAAACTTCTCCACAAAATGCAAATAAACCTCTTTCTCCATGTAATTCCCAGCTCTTGATCCACTGCTCTGGTTCTTCCCCCTCCGCCGCCCGCCCCCCACCCCCCAATCACCACTTCTACACCTCCCTGAACATTAACAATGCTTTTCTTTGGCAAGAACACCCTTGCTGTTCCCTGGCACCAGAGAACATCACATTTTTGCATGGGTTGAAATCATAAATCACTTAGAATGCAGACAACCTGTTGGAGAAGTTTGCCGTTCTTTTTCCTTCTTGAGCTTCCTTTGATTGAGATGTTCTTTCACCTTTGGAACATGTCCCAGGGCTGCTCCTGACTCATGCTGCGTGTTCCTTTTCATCATGCCAGCTGAAGACCCCCTGCAAGCCGGATTCCTTTTATCCCTCAACCCTAATTGTTCTCTGCCTTCTTCACTCAAATTTCCTTCTGCAGCCTTTCTCCAGGGGTCTCACACACCTCAGATAACATTCCTGACCCCATTAACTAAATCCCTCTGGTCTTTCAGTATTGACTGAGGCCACATGTATTGACCTTGGTAGGTGGTTCTAGGTTCGACTTTGCAAAGACGGGCTTTTCTGAGTTGACTCGTGGGTTATTTTCTCCTTCCCTATGACATCCCACCTTCACCCCAATTCCCTCCTATCCCATATTCTTACTCAATGCAGGCCACATCCCCAGCAGTCTGTAGCGCAAATAACAATCATCTCTAACAGAATTAGTGCGAACAAAGTCTGACACTTAGGACTTTAAAGCATTTTTTATAGTATGGCAAATCCGGTTACCATGCAACAAAGAACAGCTAACTGTTAAGAATTAATAATGAGAAATAAGTATAGATAATGGTTTAGCTGACACTGTCATATTTTAGTACAATATGTTCTGAAATATTTGCTCCTTTGGGTTGTGAATGTGCTATTTTTGTCACTAATAAGCCTATAGAAGCCTAGTGGAAATGAGAAGTTTTCTCAAGGAAAGTGAGGCATTCTGAGATTTCTCTGATAAGGGGAAAGGGTCAATGTGCCTGTAGTTTCTGTGCTTCATTAAAATTCTGCTTCCATACTGTATAATGTGAGTAATATTAATTTTCTAAACATTCGTGTAGAGCAGCTGCTAACTAATTTCCATAACAGTATTCCTATTCTACAGGCATTTTAAAAAGGGGAAAGAAGATGACTGCTGACTGTCTGCCAAAAAGAAAGGCTCAATCTAACCCAGTTCTGAATCATTCCAGACCGAAAGAAGGAAATCATTAGGGACATTGACTTCCCAGTCAGGGGACTGTCTGGAATTGAACAAACTGCCTTAGCCTCTGAGGATGGTGCACCTGGTATAAGCTGGGCACTCATTCACTGGGCAGTCCCCTTCCTCTAAATGCCTTCATGGTGGCCCAGTTCATGTGCCCTGGACTAGCTAATGATCAGAGCATTTCTGCAGCCCCTGTCATACTGGGTTCAGCTGCTTCCCCTTTCTTCCTGATCCATGCCACTGAAGTCCCAGCAAAACAAGTGTAGTTAAACCTGTCTAAGGTGTTTCAGGGATGGCAACGTACCTGGGAAACTTTGGACCCCTTGTATTTCACAAGCTTGCTCTCAGGGAATCCTCTACCCACTCTTCTCCAGAAAACACTGGGATGCCCAGCCTCACAGTCGGGATATAATTCCTAGTGTTATATACTTTCTCAGGCTGAACTTTTCCTTTCCTTCTATCTTGTACTAAGATGAATAACAACTAGTCTCATGAATTTGAATACTATTAAATCTTCCTCTAATTCTCTCCAGCAGTCCTGTCCTTTGGGGGATATTTTCCAACTCTGCATTCATTCACCACCTTTGCAACCCATTGTCTTTCTCTTCAGACTCTGGCCCCAATTTGTCTCTCTAACCTTACTTCCCAGTACTCCTTCCCAAGTGCCCAGCAATCCCACCACACCAGTCTACTGGCCACTCCTCCACGTAAACTACGTCAAGTTAGTCCTCCAAGTCTTAATTGAACCTGGAATCTCTGAATAGATAACCCACCCTCCTTCAACCCTAGTAAATTTTTACTCTTCACGTCCTCCCTACTTACACAGACAAAGTTAATCACCTCCATTTTCAAGCTTGCCTAGTCTTTTATTCAAACCAACCAACTTAACATTTGTCTTATTGTTGGCTAGTTGGTTGGTTGGTTGGTTGGTTGGATGGTCGGTTGGTTGGGTCAGTTGGTTATATGCAAATCTGTTTCCTTTGCTTATTTGTGGCTGTTAGAATGCATGAGCCTCTGTTTTACCATTGTTTATATGCACTGTGCTTGTAACAGTGTAGGTACTCTATCGATCCTCGTTGAAAGGAATTTACTGTCAAAATACACCTACACAAGGATATGTAAAAATAGGTGATCATAAATTTTGTCAACTCACATACACCCATAATTAGAGTCAGCTCAGGTAAAACTAAATTACCTTTGCTTCTATTTTATAGGACTCCTTATCTTAAAAATGGCTGCTGTTTACTGATTATTTGCCATTTTCATAGATTAGTAAGTGTATTAATCAAGGTCCTCCAGAGAAACAGAACCATTGGAATGTGTATGTGTGTGTGTGTGTGTGTGTGTGTGTGTGTGTTTAAAGGGATTTATTATAAGGAATTGACTCATGCTCAATTCCTTTATGAAGAGTTCATTCTCCATTATGGAGGATGAAAAGCCCCACAATCAGCCATCTGTAAACTAGAGACCCAGAAAAGCCAGTGATGTAGTTCCAGTATGAGTCTGAAGGCCTGAGAACCAGGAGCACTATTGGTATAAATCCTGGTCCCAGACAGGGAGATGACTGATGCCCCATCTCTAACAGTCAGGCAGAAAAAAGCAAATTCTCCCTTCCTCTGCCTTTTTGTTCTCTTGAGGCCTTCAACAGATTCGACAATGCCCACCCACATTGGAGAAGACGATCTGCTTTACTCAGTCTACCAATTCCAATGTTAATCTCTTCTGGAAACACCCAGAGTAAGGTTTAATCAGATATCTGGACACCCTGTGGTTCAGTGAAGAAGTCGACACATAAAATTAACCACCACAGCAATAAGTCAATGCTAATAGTTACTGATGTCCTACAAGATGTTTATTATTATCTCCATTTTACAGATTTCGAACTGAAGAGTCAGGGAAGTGAAGCCACTTGGCCTAAGTGGCACAGCCAGTGAGTGGCAGAACTGGAACTCCAACCTGGGTCTGTTTGGCTCCAAAGTCTATGCGTCTCCCATTCCACCTACTACCACTCAGCACAAAAAGACTACCTCTGCCACCTCACTTCACAAAGCAGCCCCAAGAGAGAATCAGGAAATAGCCAAGAGAGGGGTTGCACCTTAAAACATTTTTCTCCCCTACCCACCCTCCATGTGATCTGCTTTTCTGCAGTATGTGGCCAGGGCTATGTAAACCCAAACACCATAAATCAATGTTGAATGAGCATTGTTGCTGCAGAAAGGCTATAACAGAGTATCATATGAGCTTTGGCCAGGCCCTGGAAGAAGTGACATCTATTTCCATACTTGGCATTTTTCCTCATGCTGTCGTCTCCTCTGCCTTTCTGTCTCCTCTTATACCCTCCCACATTGGCCCCACTACTCTCATTCTGCTCTCTGTCATCATGCAGTCATCCCTTCCCCCTTTTCATATTTTAAAGCTCACACAGCTGGTCCCCAGAGTCACTGCCTTCTCAACTGTCAAAATTGTCCAACATGAAAAATTGAAACAATAAACTAAAATGAATGCAACCGAAAGTGAAAACTACATGTGTGAAAATGGTCAAAATGCAAAGTTATTGTTCTCTGGTCTACTATCACTGAAAATTCAATGACTAACGTTTTTTTCACCCTTTACTCCAAATGTAGGGCTGGCCTCAACACACACTAATACAGCTGCGGGGTGTGGGGGGGACATTCTGCACACAATCTCCTTTGGAAGCCAGCTAAGTGACCGAGGATGAGTTATTTATTAACATCAGAGCTGCAAGTTCACCAAGAGTCACAGCAAGACTAGGTTCTAAATAATAAAAGTAAGAGATGGACTCCATAATTCATTTGGTGAAATCTCCATCAGATTTAACTGTTACCTGAGGGTTGATGGATTTTTTTTTTTACTTCCTTTTTTGAATACATAGAATATAAACACCCTTCCAAGATACACTTACAGTGAGACTAGGAAAGAGTCAGGAGCTTAAGAAAGAGGGTGCCTGAACAGCTAGATCCAAAAAGCTAGGCATTCACATGGTGAAGAAAGAGCTGAAAAAGAGATGGCCCAACTTCAAGAAGACTAGGAGAAAACCAGCCCAAAGAGTCTGGAAAGAAGACCCTCAACCCAAAACGTTTCCTCCAGCGACTGGCACAGAATAGACACTCCATATACATTTGCTGAATGAATGCATGTGAAAAAAATGAACACAGAGTAAAAAAGTTAAAATGATTAAGGGTATAAAATTTAATCACTTACTTCACTAATTGTTTTCACATTTCAAAACCTTGTAGTAAAGTTTATTAAGCATTCAGGAATACCTAAACAGAAGCAACATTAAGATGACAACTAAATATGTTCTGTAAATTTTACTCAATAAAAAGATTTTGAGAATTTACTGTGTCCCTACGGCCAAACACAAGACTTGGGAGGATTCTAAGATAAATTGGAGGTGGTCCCTGCCATCCAGATGACCATCTGGTGGCAGTCCCTTGAGCAGGTAAAGCAGCATTCCATTTCGAATGACCAAAGGAAAAAGCCTCCGCCCAATGCTATTTTCCCATTACCCCTCACAGGGCCTTAAATTATATCATTACAGATTAATTCTTTCAGGTCTTGAAGGTTAATTGAATCTCTTAAAAAAGGTAAAATACTCCTAGGACAGGTACCTTCTTAAGCCATTATCACCTGAGATTGGATCCAAGCATTCAATCACAGCTGGCAGAGAGCATATTAGACAGAAAGGATGGAGGAGCAATGGGGGGAGGGGTTTCAAGGAGGAGGAATTTGGGAAAGGAGGCACCTAAGAGCATCATTGATTAACTTTATTTGCAGGTTTCCTCATTTTTCCCATGTCCTAACCTATCGAGACTGGCATAGAAAGTTCATACAAGCCTGCACCAGCATGCCCCATACATCTTTCTGAAATATGTTTTCCAGTTCCTCACAGCTGGGTTTCTAAGCTCGACACCTGTATTTCCTAACCTGCTTCTGGTTCCTGAGACAGTTCTGATGATAACAGGAAATGCTTACTAGTTACTTAGTTTGAACCAGCCAGTATCCTACAAGCTTCACAAGAATTATCTCATTTAAGCATCTCAGCCATTCTATTCCCATTGTACAGGTGAGAAAACTGAGGGTCAGTGATATGATTTGGCTCTGACCCCACCCAAATCTCATCTTGAATTATAGCTTCCATAATTCCCACATGTTGTGGGAGGGACCCGGTAGGAGATAATTGAATCATGGGGTAGGTTTCCCCATACTGTTCTCATGGTAGTGAATAAGTCTCATGAGAGCTGATGGTTTTATAAGGGGAAACCCTTTCACTTGGTTCTCACTTCTTTCTTGTCTGCCACCATGGAAGATGTGCCTTTCACCTTCCACCTTCCACCTTGATTGTGAGGCCTTCCCAGCCATGTGGAACTGTGAGCCCATTAAACCTCTTTTTCTTTATAAATTAGCCAGTCTCAGGTATGTGTCTATCAGCAGCTTGAAAACGGACTAATACAGTCAAAGAAGTTAAGTAATTTGTCCCAATCACCTAGCTTTAAATTGCAAAGCCAGAATTTGAATATATTTAAGTCTGATTCTAGAGCCCAAACTCTTAAACTTAAAACTATAATAACCTATAACTCAGGTTGAAATCATTACAATAACCATATGAATCAGGCAGATCAAGGAAGCAATGGTCCCATCCTAACTTGGGTTCAAGGTCCAGTTCAACTGTGGGACCTTGGTCTTTAGCGTTCTCATCTCTAAGATAGCATTAATAAAATCTACTTTGTAGAGACATATGAAATCAGATGAGTTCATAAAGAAAGTGTTTGGCACAGAGTCCGTATTTCATAAATAGTAGCTGTAAGCTATGAACTTGCCATGAGCGCTTCTGTTCCGGTAATGTTCCTGTTGGCCTCCAGGGGATGCTCAAGCTTCTACTTCCTCCTCTCACAACATCTAATAGCAGTTCTTGACCTGACTATGCATTCAAATCTCCTAGGGGTAAATACATAACTGTGTACGTCTGCATTATATTTATAAAATATGTATCTGTGTGTACATACACGTATATACAAACACATACATGTCCAGGGAAGAAGACAGGACATCTCTCTTTTATAGGTTCCCTAGCATAACACACCGCAGCGCAACCCTAATGCACAGCAGAATTGAAAGCCACTGCAGTCGAAGAACAGCTAGGAAGGGTCAAGGCCAAGGACTTTGGAGATGATGCAGCTAGGAAATGGATGTTTCTGAGGGAGACGTAAAGTAGTTACAAGTTCTAGTGCCCAAGTTTGGAGTCTGTTCCTTGGGAACCCTTTATTTTAGGTTCTGTCTCTTTGTAGGAGCCCTCTCTTGGCTTATTAAAATCCTAGCCATACCCCAGCTCCTGGACTCTGAACTTGCCTCTGCCACTTTCTTGCAGCCTAGATTCCCTGATGAGAGGCCCTGACTCCCTGCAGGGACCCACCTTGTCACTGGTGCTGTCTTCAGCTAGTTCTGGGTAGAGGACGTGGATGGCCACAGAAGCGCCAGGCCTGCACCTCATGGCTGACCTTCCAGTAGCAATACCAAAGTGCAGAACAGATGTCCTGCCTTTTATTATTTTTTTTTTAGACAGGGTCTTGCTCTGTCACCCAGGCTGCAGTAGAGTGGTGTAACCATAGTTCACTGTAACATTAACTTAACTTAGGCTCAAGCAATCCTCCTATCTCAGCTTTCCAAGTAGATAGGAATATAGGTGCATGTCACTATGCTCAACTAATTTTTCAATTTTCTGTAGAAATGGGGTCTCACTATGCTGCCCAGGCTGATCTCAAATTTCTGGGCTCAAGTGACCCTCCCACCTTGACCTCCCAGCATGCTGGGATTACAGGCATGAGCTACCACACCCAGCCTAGATGCCCCACTTCTATCCACCCAAGAACATGACAAGGACCAGATTGGTCTTGCTTCAGCTAAAGACCCCTTTAAGTCCCAGGCTGAGATAAGACTGCTAGAAGCAGAATCTCTTTCCCCAAAACGAAAAATAAGCATGTCTTAGAGTTATTGACTACTACAGGCTGATCACACACTCACAGTTGAAAATCTTGTCCTTGTCTACCCTCAGTTTAGCTGACAAGGCCATTAGCCTGCCCCAGATGGGCCTGCTGCCCTCATAATGAGCAAAATGTAAATATTCTTTCCCCTCCCCCTTCCTCTCCAGGTTCTTCAGCTCCTCGTTTATTATTTTCCCAAACTATGAAAGACCCGCAGAGAAAAGCATGCTCACTACCCTCCCCCTGCCCTGAATTAGGAATCCAAACAGTTAATAAATTATCTGGATGCAAATAAGAGCCTGACGGTTTTTGTTGTTTTTTTTTTTTTTCATGAGAGGTGAAATGTCCCCATTTATTCACTCACTTGTCACTCAAACGGGGCTGAGCACGTATTCACCAAACTTGGCAGCATTTCACTCTGAGACTGAAAACAAACATGATAAATTTCTCCTCCAGAGATAATTCTGGTGATGTGTATAGGCCACTGAAAATGAGAATGTTATGACTTTAGCGCTGTGATAATATATGGTAGTAATTATATTAACAAGGGAAATTACATCTCTCTTCAGCAATTTCAGCTCATACCACCCATATGAATAGTGGGCAGCAGCAAAAATGCTGAAATGGTACCAGTAAAATAGGAGGAGCAATATTTGCTGAATTTAGAACCTACTTTAATCACTTTTTTAAACTGTATTGAGCTCCTACTATGTGCCAAGCACCCAGTGAGCACAGTGGGGAACATGAGGATGAATCAGACATGGTCCATGACCTTAAGATGCTTACCACACATCAGGGAAATAAGAGATCCACATACACGATTGTAATGCCAGGTAGGAAGTGAGAGATGGTCAAAGGAGAGGTGCAGATAGAGTTCTATGAGAACTGAAAAGAGGAAGCTGTCGCTTCTAGATGAAAGTATGATGAGGCTCTGGCTTGCCTGGAAAGCAATCAGGCACCCCGGAGGTGATGGACAAGCAACACCTTGCAGTTTTCCAGCATCAAGATAGGATGCAGATAATTAACACTGGAAATTCTGCCCACTGACCTAGCCCCAGAGAATATCCACCAGAATGCTCCACAGTTGGATGGCAATGAAAGCAAACCCCATATTCCATAGCTTCAAAAATCCTTCTGAAAAGCCTTTCACCAAGAACTTATAAATGTGTGGATTAATGGACTATAAATAGGGATTAAATGCATGAGCAAAATTCCATAATTCATTCTGAAGCTTTATTGGAACGAAATTTGAGATACTCGCTCTGTTCACTTCTAGCAATTTGATCAGCTTTTGTTTTCTTCCTCCCATGTGCAAGAAGACATAGGGAATTCCAGAAGAAATAAGACACAGTCCAGACCCAGGGCCTTGGAATCTCATAGAGGAGAAAGAAGCATGCCCAAAATAATCATAAAGATGATCTTCTATTTTAACAACATGATCTGGTGAAAACAGTATATGGTTTGGAATCAGACAGAATTGGGCTACATTTCTGCTTTGAAGCCTATCAGCTTTGTAACCTAAAAAAAAATTATTGACTCTCTCTAGATTGGCATCCCTTTATCTGGAAAGTGTTCAAATCTTAGGACTGTGGGAAGGATTAAATAGTATAGCATTATGGGAGCATTTTGTCTAATGTCTGCAGACATTTAATGAATCTGTTGAAAAATATGTGAAAAATGGGATGTGTCATAAAAAAATTATAAAGAAAATCGGAAAATTATCCTCAAAGAAAGAGACCATCTAAGAATTGGAAGAACAGGAAAGGCTTCATGAAGGTGCCATTTGAACAGGATCTTGGAGGACTGGTAGGGATTTGTCAATATGTGGTCCATTTTGGCTTAGGAGGATGGAGTAAGCATGGCTGTGCCGAGATATGACGCTGTATTTTTAAGTGGCTAAAAATTCTGTATGGCAAAATATTTGGCTGAGTGATTCACTCCAGGCAAATCAGTAATTAAACACGTATTGACCCCAAAATATCATACCCTAAATAATTAAAAATCCAATCATGGCCAGGGCAAACAACACCAGACAAGACAAAGAATGACAATTCTTCCAGAACATAGAAAAAAAGAGCTTCAAGAAGCTAACATAACATTTATGCCACAATTTTTAAAAATTCAAACAAAAGACCAATCCTTCTTACAAATATTAATGTAGAAGTACTGTAACACATGGAGAAACAGAATTCAGAAAGCATTGTAAAAGGATAAAACATCATAACCAAAGGGAATTTACTCTGGAATTGAAGGAAGGTTAGGGTTAAATATTAGGAAATCTATTTATAAAATTCAAATTTAAAAAGTAAAAATTGTTTAAACAGATGAGAGGAGAAACATATGACCATCTCTATGGGTACTAAAAGGTCATGTGATAAGATATAATCTCTATTCTTAACTTTAAAAAAACTGATAAAATATTAACAGACACCTCATTAATATGATAAATACGTAAACATATATATTAACACAAAAGTTAATATCACGATTAATAGGGAAATACTAGTAGATTCCCACTAAATCTAGAACAAGTTCACTTGTGCCATAATATTTCATATTACCCTGGAGCATCTAGCTAGGCAATGAAATTAGGTAAATGAAATAAATGACAGAAAAAAAATGATTTGCAAATAAAATGATTGCCTAGAAACCCAAGAAAATAAACTGAGGAATTATTATAAACACTAAGAGAATTCAGTATGGTACTGCTAAAAAAATTAATATATAAAAATCAATAGCCTTCATGTATACACATAACAATTACAAGAAATAATGGGAAAGACCCTCATTTTACAAAAGCAAAAATATATGTAATATACTTATGAATAAACTTTACAACAAATGTGCAGGAGCTATATAAAATAGTGTTAAAATGTCTTTAAGGGCAGGCATGGTGACTCACGCCTGTAATCCCAGCACTTTGGGACGCCGAAGCAGGTAGATCACCTGAGGTCAGGAGTTTGAGACCAGCCTGGCCAGTGTGGCAAAACCCCATCTCTACTAAATATACAAACATTAGCCAGGCTTGGTGGCGGGCACCTGTAATCCCAACTACTCGGGAGGCTGAGGCAGGGAGAATTGCTTGAACCCAGGTGGCAGAGGTTTCAGTGAGCTGAGATCTCACCACTGCACTCCAGCCTGGGCAACACAGCAAGACTCCTTTAAAAAAAAGAAAAAGTCTTTAAAAAGGCCCAAACAAAAGTGATTTAAACTAATGGAAAGGCAACCACATTCTTAGAAGGAAATCTTATCATCATAAAGATGTTAATTCTCATTCCGATTAGTAGTTTACACAAACCCAAAAATCTACCAAGGGGATTTTTTTGGAAATAAAATAACTGATTTAAAGTTTATAAGGGAGAAAGAAGGAAGAATAGTAGAAGATTCTGCAGGGAAAAAGAATTATGATGTAAGATTAGCCCTACCAAACATTAAAATGTAAAATAAAGCTACAATAACTAAGTAATATGGTACAAAAACATAAAACAAATATGCAGATAAATGAAAGACTAGGAAAGACCTGAGAAACACTCAAAAGCATATTGAAATGTATATATGCTAAAGATATTTTTGAATCAATGGTAAAGATAAGATATTGAGGATAAGTGAAACCTGGAGCTGGTTTCACTTCCCAATACTATTGGGACAACAAAATATCCATCAGAGAAAAACATTACATTGGATACCTACTTCACAATTTCCACAAAAATATCTCCCAAATGGATAAAAGATTTGAAGGTGAAAAATGAAACCTTAAAAGAATTATAAGAAAAAAGGAAGAGGCATTTTATTTTTATTTTTTATTATCTTCAAGTGCAGAAAGGCATTTCTAAGGATTATTTAAAAAACCCAAAAGTTATTAATACATTTGACTACATAAGAATATTTAAAGTCTCCATATAGAACAAAAAACAAGTTACAAAACCAACCTGAGAAAAATTTTTGCAACTCATAACAAAAAGATAATTTTTGTAGTATATGAAGAGCATCTACAAATAAATAAGTAAATGATGAATAATCCAATAGAAAACAATTAGCAAAACATATGAACAATTTACTAGACAAAATATAAATAGCAATGTAAATACATGAAAAACTGCTCACCTTATCCATGATAAGAAAAACGTAAATTCAAACTGCAGCTCTATATTATTTTTCACCTAACAGATGGGCAAAGATCTGTAATGTTTGATAAAACACTCTTAACAAGGATGTGGGGAAATAGCCATTCTCTTACATTTCTAATGAAATTGTAAATTGCCACAACCACTAAGGAGAACAATCTGGTAACATCTATCAGCAGTTAAAATATCTACACACTTTAACACAATTGGATTTTTAAGGAATCGATCCTGCAGCCACCACAAATTAAATGCCATATGTTCAGAGATATTCACCACAATATCATCCCTTTGACAGGGGCAAAAAGTGTACTTTTGGACTGTTTGAGAAGGCCCTATTTATCACACACACAGTAAATCGATTAAAGAGCACAAGGCACCTTTGTCACACAAGATCTGGCACTTAGCACAACATGGCACAAATTGTAATCCCAAACATCTATTCATAGGCCAAACACCATTCAGGTCCCAAGGAAAAACTTCTCCACATTCTTTGCACTATGTCTTCAAAATGAAAGGCAACTGTGTCCAAATACTATGGAAATTTGTGGGTTTTGCCACTGCAGGGAAGAAATAACCACTGCTTTGAAAAGCAGGAAAAATGTAAGCTATGGAAACATTCAGGCAAGAGCAAAGACAAATTAATTAACTTGTCCAACCTTCTCAGCAGGAATGCAATAGATTTTTCCCCCCTTGAGATGGAGTCTCACTCTGTCGCCCAGGCTGAAGTGTAGTGGTGCAATCTCAGCTCACTGCAACCTCTGCCTCCAGGGTTCAAGTGATTCTCCTGCCTCAGCCTCCCAAGTAACTGGAATTATAGGCATGCACCGCCACGCCTGACTAATTTTTGTATTTTTAGTAGAGACAGGGTTTCACCATACTGGCCAGGCTGGTCTCGAACTCCTGACCTCAGATGATCCACCCACCTCGGCCTCCCAAAGTGCTGGGATTACAGGCGTGAGCCATCACACCCAGCCTGCAATAGAGTCTTCCATTCTTTCTTTATAGCTGATCACACATGTTCTTGCTTTTTGTTTTTGAGGTTTTCTTCAAATTATGATAGTATCCACAGCAGCTGCTGAGTAACAATTGGTTGAGGAACATTTTCCAATGTAAACAGTGAATGTTACTTATTACTTCTAATTGTAGCACGATATGGATTCTTTACAACTGGGCCACTGAATGAACACTGAACACCAGAACTAAACAGTTTTATTTTTATACTAAATGAGATTTTATTTAAATTGAAACATTTTAGTAATGTAATATTAATGTTTTAACTAAAATATTAAATGAGATTTAATTACATTTTAAAAATAAATATCTAAGGCATTCAACTAATTTAAATTTTTATTTTTTATATTTCATCATCAAATTTTTTTTTTTTTTTTTTTTTGAGACAGACTCTCACTCTGTCGCCCAGGCTGGAGTGCAGTGGCATAGTCTTGGCTCACTGCAACCTCTGCCTCCCAGGTTCAAGTGATTCTCCTGCCTCAGCCTCCTGAGTAGCTGGGATTACAGGTGAGTGCCACCGCATCCGGCTAATTTTTCTATTTTTAGTAGAGATGGGGTTTCACCATGTTGGCCAGGCTGGTCTTGAACTGCTGACCTCAGGTGATCTGCCCGCCTCAGCCTTTCAAAGTGCTGGGATTACAGGCATAAGACACCGAGCCCAGCCTAAAATTTTCCTTTTTAAAATTAAAAGTTTTTATTTAGATGGTTATTGTAAAAAAAAATAACTTTTTGAAGACATAAAGATTAATTGTAATCAATATTTACATTATTTAATAATATTTACATTTTGACAAAAATGTATACAAATTTTGTACACTTTTCATTTTTTTTTTTTTTTTTGGAAACAGGATCTTGCTCTGTCACCCAAGCTGGAGTACAGTGGCACTATCATGGCTCACCACAGCCTCAGCCTCTCAGGCTCAAGCAATTCTCCCACCTCAGCCTCCTGAGCAACTGGGACCACAGGTGTACATCACCACACTCAGCTAACTTTTTTTTTTTTTTTTTTTTTTTTTTTGGTAGAGATGAGGTCTCCCTATGTTGTCCAGGCTGGTCTTGAACTCCTGGGCCCAAGTGGTTTTCCTGCCTCAGCCTCCCAAAGTGCTGAGATTACAGACCTGAGCCACTGTGTGGGCCTCAATTACATTTTTTATCCAAAAATCATTATTGTCAATAGAACACAAGTATATGAAAATCTTGACTATAATAACGTAATAATTTTCCTAAAATTAAGTTGAGAAGTTTTATAGAATATATAATAAACTGTTAATTACATGCTCTATTGTTAATCCAAATATTGGTACTTCATTGCCAGAATACCCAGACATCTACAATAACAATTAAGTTTAGTTTTCTATATTTTGACAATGTTCAGTTGTATAAAATTATAGCTTTATGCACATTTTTCCATTTCCATTTTAACAAATATATTTGTCAAAGTAAAAGGATAGGACATATTTTAGTTACCAGTTTGTGAGCTTGATTCCTAACTTTGAGCTTGATTCATAGCTCTGACACCTTGTGTGGGGGCTCCATTTCTATTCCTGCCCTGAAAACCACAACTGTTATGGGAGGGTCTGAGTGCAACACTGTGTACAGTAGAAAAAATCCCACTGGATACTGAATGTCGACTATCATGGCACTTGCTAAATATACTATGTGTAAAATGTTTTGTTTAGTTCTGGCTGCTATAACAAATTACCATAGACTGGGTGGCTTCAACAACAAACATTTATTTCTCGCAGTTCTGGAGGCTAAGAAGTTCAAGGGCAAGGTGCAGGCAGATCCAGTATCTTGTTAACCAGGGCCCACTTCCTGGTTTACAGATGGCCATCTTCTGGTTGCATGCTCCCATGGCAAAGCAGAGAGAGAAAGCAAGCTCTCATGTGTCTCATTATAAGGGCACTAATTCCATTCTTGAGGGCCCCACCTGCATGACCTAATTGCCTTCTAAAGGCCCTGCCGCCTAATATCATCATGTTGGAGGTTAGGATTCCAACATATAAATTTGGGAGAGACATAAGCATTCAGTGCATAACATTTTTAGAGGATGTATATGTTTGTGTATTGGTAGATATATGCAATATCTAGAATGATACACAAGAAACAGGTATCAACAGTTGCTTCTGGGAAATGAAACCTTCCAGAGTAAGGACTGCAGTGCCCCTAACACCAGAAGAGTTGCCATAAACATAGTAGATGCAATAAATAAATGTGTCAAATGACTCAATCAATCAATCAATCAAAAAGGGGAAAATTGACAAGGCACGGTGGCTCACACCTGTAACCCCAGCCCTTTGGGAGGCCAAGGCAGCTGGATCACTTGAGGTCAGAAGTTTGAGACCAGCCTGGCCAACATGATGAAACCCCATCCCTACTAAAAATAAAAAAAACTTAGCCAAGTATTGTGGCAGGCACCTGTAATCCCAACTACTTGGAAGGCTAAGGCAGGAGAATTGCTCGAGCCCAGGAGGCGGAGGTTGCAGTGAGCCGAGATCGTGCCACTGCACCCCAGCCTGGGTGATGGAGTGAGACGCTGTCTTTGAAAAAAAAAAAAAAAAAAAAAAAAAAAAAAAAAAGGTGGTGGGGAAATCAGCTCATGAACATTTTACTAATTATCCTTTTGTATATGTTGAATTTTGAACCATATACATGTTTCCCTAATTCATGGGAGGAAAATTCCGATGACTGATAAATTTCAACATTCCAAGTAGTTCTGATATTATCACCTCACAACAAAATTCCATCAGACTCTCTTATCCTAACCATAAATTCTACTATTCAGTGTCCTGAAATTGGAATTATCAGTGGACTTATGCATACTACAATACACCATTATCTTATATATGTCTGGTTCTTTATAGCTAATCACATTCTATCATAAGCACAGTGTGGTTCATATATGGAGATTTCGAGAAAATGTCAATATCTCTAACTCACAGATAAAAAACCTGCTAAAGTTTATGCAACTTCAGTGCTAAGTTCTGTTCACTTTCCATAACCCACATGGTTGTTATAAAACACATTCATGGTTGATTGTTTACATTGCTCTGGAAAGACAGCTTTATTCTGTGGAATAGACAGTAGATTCACTTCTTCACTAAATGGTCAGCATCCATTAATGTTACAGCATCCGTTAAAGCTGAATTGGGAGCTAGTTCCAAATTCACACTTTCTGAAGAGAAAACAGAAAATGTGTTTTGCCTTCTCTATTGTTTATTTTATAGTGTCTTGGTTTAGTTATAAACTTTGTCTCATAATTATAGTAAAATGTAACAGGTTTGCCTGAAAAATCTTCTTAGGTGATGAAACTCGCTTTTTAAAAAAATCCTTTCCTCACCAATAATTTTTTTCCTTTGTAATCTACTTCCCTCTGACTTTTTATTTGAAACATTTCTTCTTTTAGGGTTACATTATCACATTTTCCTTAATTCCATAATCCTTTCAACTCCCTCATCCTTTATGCACTGTGTTTTTGTATCCTTTTATTTTTAAGTCCTTTTCATGTTGTCTCCCTTTTGTTTTATTTCCACAGGAGCTTTTATTGTCATCTTAGTCTTTATTTTTCAGCCTGACCTACGAGCAAGGAAATGAAAAGGGAAAGTACCGCAGCCACGCTTCCATGGAAGTGGCAGACAGGTGCCAAAGAGTACATTACATTTGGAGAGAGGAAAAAAAAAAAAAAAAGGCTGGATCAGGGCCTGATTTGTTTTTTTTCTTTTTGGTCTCCAAAGTGTAATACCTTTGAAGATGAAAAATAATGACATTTACACAGGAACATATATAAAAATGTGTCTTGGTGAACATAGAAATGCCGAGAAAACAGGTTCCTTTAATCAGAATTCTGGTTCAATGTCCAATAGACCCAGTCAAATTTACTCTGAAGGCATGAGTGAGAGCATCACCCTGTAGGAAGCCAAAGTTGACAAATTAACTCTGTCTCTATCTTGAAACCAGCTTACTAGTAAGTGAAATTCAGAATTGCACCTGAAGTTTGTTAATGTTGATTTAGATGAAGCAAGCCCAAACTCCTTAAAGATCTCTAGAGCAAGATACCTCTTCGATAAATCAGTAAGAGTGGTCACAGTATGATTCTCAGACAGAAAGATCAACAATCAATATTAGAAATTTTGACAAATAGTTGTTCCCATCTCTATTTAATAGGCATTTTGGTGTTTCAGATCCAGCCGCTTACTCACACTCTTTCCCTGGAGCTCATACTCATTTAATTTATCTTTCACCCGCCTGTCTTCCCACAGGCAGTGCCTGCCTCTTGCATCCATCTATAATGCTACCCCGATTACCTCAGAACATCTAGAGCAGCTACAGATCAAGAATGAACAATTAGAAGAAGAAATGATCTCTCTTGACTGGGAACACTTACATTTTATAAGGTTTTTGTTGCCTTTGCAGTGAACCAATCTAAATCTGAAAATTTATCTCACAAAATCATGACGAGGAAAAGCGAGGCAGTTGTGTGTATGTGTCCGTGTATGCATGTGTGTGTGTTCATAAGTGTGTGTGTCTCTGTGTGAATGTATGCCTTTGTGTCTATATTTGTACATGTGCCACAAAAAGGTAAAAAGGAAGAAAATCAGTAAATCAGACAGTGTTTTAGCTACCTGGTCCTAAATTTCTAGTTGTTTACAAATATGTATGATTGAATTTTTTATTTAAAAATGAAAATCTGGATGTTAAGCATACATAGTAAATGTGAACAGCTTTCCCTTTGCCCTAAACTCTTTTTTTCATCTACTTTTCCTTCCCTCGCCTGCCAACTTTCACCCTTATTTTCCTTTTCCTATCTGGTATTTCCTAGATGTTCTGTTCAGTTTAATTTATCCAAATGTCATACCCAATAAGTTCCTGAATCTCCACTCCATTCCGGCTGAATTATTGTATTACTTTTAAATAACTTGCATCTGCTCCTGATTCTCCCATCTGCTTCTCTTCCTCTTTACTTTCTCATCATGAGGCCTGGCTCTAGTTAGGGACAGTGGCCAAGCACTAACTCAAGCAGTTACTTCATCAGGCCGGACTTCACCAATTTTTCATTTCTGAGCTGCTGACACCAAGTTAGTCATCCTTCCTGAATCTCTCTGAAAAAGCTGGCCCTAGGCAAATTTGTAAAGTAGGTCAGATATATGAGTGCTGCCATACACACTTTCAGTGCTTTCTCATACACTTTTGTCACCCTTCTGCAGGGGTACCCCATACATTGGACTTCGCAATTTTCTCCCTTTACTCCCATCCTTCAGGAAGTCCATATCCAGTGTCCTTTTTTCCATTGCGTCATTTCTAGGAGAAATCTGGTAGAAAAATTCTAGCAAAATGTTACTCATAGACAATAAACATTTAGTATTTCATCCTCTATGGAATGAGTTTCAAGATTTATGTTTCTGTGTTCTGTTGTTAAGATAGGCACGTGGGGCAGTCCCAGCAAAGTCATCAGCTGAAACTGTGAGTTGAGGCACTTGTAAGTAGAGTTGGCTGCTCTCTTAAATGCTAGAATTTGAAGGAATTTGATGGCATATTTTAAAAAGAAAGGAAACTAACATTTCTCAAGTTTTTGCTACATGCCAGGAGCAAGCTAGATTTTACCCTCATTTTAACCAATGAAAAGGTAGTATACTTGCCCATGCTGAAAAAAATAATATGGCTATAAGAAAAAGAGATGAGATTTGCACCTGGGTATAAACCGGCAGCATAGTCCCCCAAAAAATCATATGGCTGTAAGAAGAAGAGATGGGATTTGGACTTGGATATAACCCAGCAGCAAAGCACAGTGTTCTGCTTCACCTTTCTGCTCCTTGGGTTCAGGACCATAGAATGTTAACTTTCCTCCTTTTGGAGTTTCCAAGCACCCAACACACATGAAGTAAGCACCATTTTATGTATGAAGGTAAATGAGTGGAAGTGAGTAAAATCTTGAGGTGAATAGGGAATGGTTGCTACAGCATAGTCTGGATCAGAGATATGACCCAAGAAGTGTTCTGCTAGGACACTATCTTGAAGTCTTTGTAGCACATGAAATGGATCTCAGACTTTACACAAAAGTTATAGGGGAGCCGGTCATTCTATAAGCTATAAAGCCTATAAGATATAGGCTTTAAGAGGGACAAACCTAAAGTAGGGTGGCCAGCTGGGGAGCTACATTGCTATTAGCCAGGCAAGACCTGGTAATGGGCTCCAATGAGGTAATGAAGGGAGAGGGAAACAGTATTTAGGAGGCAAAGTAGTAGGACTTGGTAGTCACTTGGATTTATAAGGAGTAGAGCAGAGAAAGAAATCAAAGATGTACATTTTTACTTTGTGTATTCCCAAGTTCCACAACCTTTTTCTAACTCAAGGGAAACTATTGTAATATACTTAGATGCCTTAGAGCAGATTCCCAAGCTAAATTTATAATTATTTGGAGCTGGCAAAATTCTGCCTAACTTAACCAGTCATGCGTTCAGTAAGCATAATTTTTGACCAGAAAAAATACTGCATTCTCACAATTAAGGTATGATTTAGTCCTAAGAAAGGGCTAGAATTCTCTTATTTGGAATCTTGTCTTTTCCTACCTCAAGAGGTGTTCCTGACAGAGACAGTCTTTATAATTCTTAGTTATGTTTATGGCACTTTGATTTTAGAAATCACTCTAAACACAGATATTTCCATAATAAATATTCCCAACTGCCATCCTTGGAAGGGGTAATTTGATTAGTGGTATTGTATTGAGTTGCATTATAATTGGTTTCTTCAAATAAAGCCTATTACTACACTTAAGAAAAAGAAATCAAGAATTAATGTCTAGGTGATCTGCTTTGCACAAAAGTGATAGCAGGATGGGGTTAACAAGTATTTATGGAGAGATAACTGGGAGTGATGAGCTCTCAAGTTTTGATGTTTATTAAAGAGTTTATTGGAATCTCATAGAGCAGTAACAAATGATCTAATAAAACAAATAAGATTAAGCAGTTCCAGTAAACAAAATTACACTAAAACTCCAGAAGAGTAGAAGCAAACCATTTTTATTTCTTTAATTCCCACAAAACTCATATTAATATTTCCAAATCTTATAAAGAGTTCTGGAATGAGGAATTTGTTTAAGCATGGGCGAAAGTGTTCAAATCATGATTCATGTTATTCATGAATTCATTTAATGGACTATTTAGCCACGTTGGCAAACTTTTAAAAGGAAAATAACTTTTGCAGACATAATATAAGGGGAAAACCTCTGAAAACTCAGCCACAAATAAATGGTGTAGGCTGGCACTGTTTTCTTAGAAAATGAAAACAAAGTAAACAAACTCGAATTAAAGAGAGGAGGTGGGGTTGGTTAAGTTAGAAAAAAACAACTTCCTGAAGAAAGAAAGGCTTGCTGAAGGAAGTTATGAGACCTTAGGAGATGTTACCAGCAGGCTCCTTTGCTGATCTTTCTAATGGAAGTTAATGGCTGCAGAGCAAACACAGGCAGACAGGGCAATGAGCAGCTTCCAGAATTCCGAAACCTAACATGGCCCAGAAGCAGAAAAATGACTGTTGTGTCCAAACAAGGTTCTAGCTAATAGAGCAAGCAGCCTGAAAGAGTCAGATGGATAGAAACAAGGGACATCTCAGCAGCAAAGGGGTGGACCATGTCCTCATCCAACAACAGACATCTCACTGGGCTCTTTTGTCTACAGATAAAATTAAAGACCGAAGACTCCCTAGATATGGTGCTGTTATGTGAAACACCCCAGAATCTAGGCAGTGATGATATATTCACTGATACTGAGTTTCTACCACCTTGTCAATGGGGACTTGCACTATAATTAAGTTGTTCTAGGGAAATAAAGACAGTTCTCTTTCTTGCCCACCTGAACAGTGGACTGGGATTTATACCTGCTGCATGCGGGAATTTTTGTGCAAAAATATTTGCACCAAGAATTTAGGGCCTAATTATTTTGAGATGTTTGGCCAGATGTGCAGGATAAGGTGGACTCTTAGAAGCCACTGTTAATTTTAGAACAATTGAGAGAGACTGATGAGACAGAGTTTAAAAATATAACACAATTCTTTAAATCTCCTAAGCAGATATGGTCAGCTTGGTAGAAAGAAAAGAAGGTGAATGCAGTCTAGTAACAAATCAAGAAAATTTATTGGGACCCAAGAAGGTACCCAGAAAGGCAGCCCCATTGGTGGTAATTTTTAAAGACCCCATTTGTGGTCCTACATTTCTGAACCTCTTTCTGGATGGGGAAGTGTATTATGAGATGCATGGGTATGTCCTCCCAAAAATTAATATATTGAAACTCTAACCTCCCACTCCATTGGGATGGTATTAGGAGGTTGGGCCTTTGGGAGGTAATTAGATTAATATGAGGTCATGAAGGTGAAGCCCCCATAATGAGTTTAGTGTCCTCTGCCATGTGAAGAGACAGCAAGAAAACAACCATCTGTAAACCAGGAAGAGGGTCCTCAGCAATAACCTAACCATGCTGGCACCCTGATCTCCATCTTCTAGCCTCCAGAACTGTGAGAAACAAGTGTTCGTTGTTTAAACTACCAAGTCTATGGTAATCTGTTACAGCAGCCCAAACTGATGAAGACAAAGGGCAGTTCCAGGGGGACACATGAGGTTTGCAATTAGTGCAAGACTTATGTAGGTTCCTAACTGTAAATCAGACATTGAGCTTTGAATTTTATCTCTGGGCTGCTTGGCACTCAAAAGAAATATTGATATAAATAAATTACATGACTAAGAGCTTTTTTGGAAAAAAAAAAAAAAAAAAAAAGCAATATATGCCAGTTCTTCCAGACACCAATTTAAAAAAATTAAAGAAATATATTACTTTTGCCCTTATTTCATGGATACGGCTTATTATAAGACACAATGTTTCCTAAAATGAAAATGCTTCCTTTTACTCAAAAAATAAAGGTAAAATTTTTATAACTATTTCTTGCTTCAACCCTTAATAAAATCTTAAATCTTAGTATTGTCATCCATCTTTGCTATATTTATAAAACCATCTATTCTTTTGTTTTCTGCTAGAATAGGGTCTGTAACTTATTACAGAAACCAAGTTCCCAGCACAGTGGCACATACAAGGGCTTCCCAAATGTGCTAAGTTTTATCAACAGTAAGTGATACAGTGGAATTACTTTGATGAAGAGGGGTTGCTGACCTATACTAACAAACTCCAGCTATGTAAACTGTAGGGATCTGTCTTAGTCAGCTCAAGCTGTTACTAACAAAATACCATAGATTGGGTAGCTTAGTTCTCACAGTCCTGGGGACTGGAAAGTCCAAGATCAAGGTGTCAGCAGATTCCATTCTTGGTGAGGGTGCACTTTCTGACTGGTAGATGGCTGCCTACTTGGTGTATCCTCACATGGTGGGGAAAGGAGGGTCTGATGTCTCTTCTTCTTCTTTTTATAAGGGCACTAATCCCATCAAGGGGGCTCCACCCTCATGACCTCCTCTACACCTAACTACCTTTCAAAGGCCTCACCCCTAACACATTGGGTATTTTAGGACTTCAATATATGAATTTGGAGAACACAAACATGCAATTCACAATAGGATCTAACTTGAACTATCAATAAAACCTAAAACACCAAGGGTCTTTTAAGCAGTTATCTTTGCTAATACACATCAAACAGAGCTTATTATATCTACAATTTCATTTCTAGATACGTAGAAATGTTTTCTTATTTTGCACTAAGGCAACAGCAGTCTTCCTACATTCATAGATTTTTTTTTTTAGTGGTGGATCTTTGGTTCATTTACAAAGTAAAATTTGCTGAGTCAAGGTAAAAGCATCTAAATGTCTTAGAAATATAGCCCAATCACCAATCCAATGATTGAATGTGTAAAAGAATCTATTTTCATACCTTTGTTAATTACACAACATGGACACCAACTAATCAGAATGGATACCAGCTATAAACAAGTGCTATGATCATCTGGGTATGTGTCAGGAAATATCTGTGGGTTACCAATGGGTTTAAAACCCAAAGTGCTCAATAGCTATATGTTGGATGACATTGAACTGAACACTCGCTGCCATGCTATAAGGCAAAAACTGGGTTAAAGGCAAAAACTGACTTTTAGTCATTAGGTATCACTCCTGCTGCCTAGTACTGTACCTGATAAATAGTAGACAGTGAATAAATAAATAATTGTGATTTTATTCATACAGACCTTTCTAGAAGTAACAGCTATAAGAACATTGCTATCAGAATTTAAAGTCTTTGCTCAGGTAGAAATTGATTTCTTTTCTTAACCTTTGAACCACATAGACAACAAAGTTATAGATGTAATTTGAACCTCAAAAGGGCATTCCGATTTTCCCAGTACAATTAAATGTTGGGACTAATGAGGCAGAGACAATATTTTCTTATACAAACAATTTTTCAAGTATACAGGACAGTAGCATCTAATGACTGCTACCAACACAAAATCACCGGGTGGCCAGCTTCTATTTTATGCAGTGAGGTTAGCAATTATTCTGTAACACTTAATTTCCTGTTACTAATGCTTTCCCCGAAGCACTTAAGCATGATGGCCTTATGAATATAGTTATTAGTGGAACCTCACTCAGTGTTTGGATTCTTTTAGAAATTTGATAAAGATAATATTCTCCCAAAGGTTACTGTCCAGATAACAAGTCATTTTATCAGCAGGCCTGAGCTTCAGCCAGCTGTCATTAAGAGTGTCTTGTTAACCAGTGAAGGACTTTGTAGCTGGGTCAGGGCCGTTGAAGTCTGGGGCAAGGTTGCTAAGGTAACGAATCTGTCCAAAGACTTCTCTCAGGATCAACCTTTCATCTTGTTAAATTTATATAAGCAAAGCACTGTGAGAAGAATGCTAATACACCAAATGACAGAAACAATTGCACAAAGATATTTTTTAAGCTTGCTAGGTGTGTGTTTAAGCTCCTTTCTAAAGATACAATTTGTGTGGGTTTGGAGAAGTTCATAGAAATGAGCTAAATTACCCTGGGTCCATATATCGTTTACATTAGCATGAGAAACACATGGCTCTACAAAGCACAATTTAATTCAACTATACACATTGATTGAGTGCCTGCTTGGTACCTGAATTCATTTTTCAGTGTTACATTTGAGTCTGAGAAGAATTAAATTCTAAGGAAAGTAAAGCTTAGCGCCCTTCCAAAGAGTCCAGATTCAGTGACATAGAATAACTTCAGTTCTTACATTAGGGAGTAATCGTGATGTTAAGCATGAGGTTGTTATATTAAAAATATATAGGACATCAAAGACTAATGGGGTCATGTGAGAAGGATATGAGAACCGACTTGAACCGCCCCTTCTGGCCTGAGATGGGACAATGTGAACATCAAAAAGAATAATGATAGCAATGGACTTAAACATATCGAATACATAAAAATCCGTGAGTTCATACTGGTACTAAAAACAGAAAGACTCACTGGCCACTACTAGAGGTTGCTAAGGCCACCAACTCATTACTGAAATTTGACAAATAATGGAAAAGAATGAAGCATATATTTTGCCTTTCCTGCATGAACTGTATTCCTACATAACCAAATAGCTGATAAGTTCTTTAAAAATAATTTCATGTAATAACTGCATATGAAATAATAGGATTAAAAAATCACCATTTTGCAACACTTAATGAAATAATGAATTTAGACAACATATATCAAGGAGTGCCAAAACAATTAGATGAAAAGACTGTGGGGAACTTAATGATGGAGGGATTATGTTGACAACTCCTGAACTCACCAATCACAATAACATTAAAGATGGGACAATCAGACATGAGGTGTCTCATTATGTAATGCAAAGAGAAGTGCACACATCACTTAAGAAATAGTCTTGCCTAAAAATATTGAACCTAAATCTAATCAACCCTCTAGTTCTAACTACGAGGAATAGAGGAGGAAGTTAAATATCACAATCTAAAAATTGGGACATTCCAAAGACAAATGACCCAGTTTCCCAAAAAAATAAATAGCATGAAAAGAAACCAGGGAGGGGAGCTGCTTTAGAATAAAAAAAGCTGTAAGAGACACAACAGGCAAATACAATGAGTGGGCCTTTTATGAAATCTGAGTTGAATAAATCAAATGTAAAACAACATCTTTGAGAAAACTGAAAAAAAATGGATATAACAGACTTAAATGATATAAAGTTATTATTTGTGTTAGGTATAATATTTGCTGGTTACATTTTGAAAGGTTTCTATCAGTTAAAGATGCATACTAAAGTATCTACAGGTGAGATAAAATGGTATCAGGGATTTACTTTTTAAAAAGTAAAGAAGTTGGATAAAACAAAGTTGGCAAAATGTTTATAATCATCAAAATTCTGGGAAAAGAAAAAACTGTGGAAAACTGGGTGCCTGAATTACAGTGTTGGAACTGTCTGACTAGTATGCTTAAAACCTTTAATATTGGAAGAACCAGTAGGGCCTGTCTATTGCTTATATAAAATATTTTTACTACTAGCAAGAATCCATGCTGAATAGAATCAGCTAACCTGCAGAGCTGAAAAGTTTATATTTGTCCTGGCCTTTATTCTGAAAGAAGACAACATGTCAATTCCTAAGGATAGTCTGAACTCTAAAACTTGTCCTTATCAGAAAATATGAACAAAGGAAGAATTTGATACAATGGAAAACACTGTCCCCGGATAAGGTTAAATGATTTGGCAACCCAGAAGAACATACCATCTCATCACTGTCAGTTACCTCTGAGGAACCTAAGCTTTCTGCTAGTTCAGGCTGCTACAAAGCAAATGAAGCAGCTTCCTTACCATGCCAGATATTCAGGTTGCTGACCTCAACACAAAAAAGCTAAAGGTTAAAAACCAAAACCACATTGCAACTCTTCCTATTAAGTTAAACTGAAAATACAAAATAAGTATTGATGAGATATTATTTAAGATCTTCTAAAGAATTAAATTATTTAGAATGTGACAGTGATACTATATAAAGAGCTCTTACAAGTCAATAAAAAAGATGAACACCCCAAAAGAAAAGTGGGCAAAGGACACAAAATCAATAGAAATATAAGTGGCCAATAATAAACATGTTATAAATGATTTTTTCCAACATTTAAAAAATCAACCTCAAAGAAAATCAATGAATGCAAATTAAGACAAGGAAATACCATTTTGTCTATCAAGCTGGCAAATGTTTTCAATGATAAATAGTATTGACTTTTTTCTAGGAAGCAGTTATAAAAATTGGTTCAACATTTCTAAAGGTCAATTTGACAATATGTATCAAAATCATTACCTTTGAACCAAAACTTCCATTTTCTGAAATTAATCCAAAGTAAATAATCATGAAAATGCAAGAAGAGTTAAGTAGAAGAAAGTCCATTCCAGTATTGTTTATAATAGTAAAAATTAAAAATAACATAGATATTCAATAATAGGGATTGGTTAAATTATGATGCATACATGAAATAGAACACTAGGCTGTTATTAAAACTATCCAACTATCAAATGATTCAGAAACATGTCTATACTGTTAAATTGAAAAATAGGATTATTAAAAGTAGTATGTATGTGTGCATATGTAAATGTATGCAAAATAGCTACCAAAAAATATTTACTTCTAAATGGGAACTCTCTTTAATGTGATTGTAATTATTTTACCTAGAGTGTTTACAGTGAACACATTAAGTATGAAAGCCATGTTTTTAAGACTGGAAAGAGAACTTTCTAAGCACTAGCTTCACTGCTCCAACTGTGCTCAATTGTTCTGTTACTCAATCTGGGTTTATTGTACCCTACTTCCTCACTGATGGAACATAGGAGGGAAGCCACAGCCTGCCATTTTACCTGCTGGCCCCACCAAGAGCCCTAGGGAGGAGACTTACTGGTAACTGGCCACTAAGTGTGAAAAGCCTTTATCATCCAAGTTGCTATACTTAGCGTTTCATCTTGCCTCTCAACTGTTGGAGCAGTAACAAGCCCTCTACATTAACTCCCTGGCTGAGGCTAAAACTCAACCAACATGGAGCCCCCATGTCCTTTTCTTCTCTGTCAATGGTCCCCTATCAGAAATATCCTGCCATGGAAACATTCATCCATCTAGCCTGACTTCCATTCTAATAAATGCTTAATCTACTGGTTACAATTTTTCCATAACCTTAGGCTCCTATAGCAGGGCAAATCTATATTACATCTTTAGCAGTATCCATTTGGGGCTCTTAAACAGATAGTGTCTTTTTTCTTCCCTGGTAAATTTGTTCAAAATGTTGGAACTCAATAAACAGTTTTTAAACACAGGAAATCATTGTTTTCTCATTGAAAGTTACTCTATTTCCAAATTAAGACATAGTTCTTACGCCTCTATCCTTAAAATTAAAAAAAAATTTAAGGTCATAAAAATAAGTTGGACATTGTACAAAGCAGTTTAAGGATGTTTCATCAATGCCTTCTGGGATCCTCTCATTTCGGGCAAATCACTCCCATTTGTACAGTTTGACTGTATAATTCTATACATTCATTCAACAAGCATTTGTTGAATGTTGAATGCCTACTAATGGCCAGGGACACCCCTTCCACCCAAGTCCTGCAGGTACAAATATGAATAGGCACAAATACTATCTGAGGTGCCCATGGATTAGTCAGGAACATATTGACATGTAAGCAAGCAATGTAATCCAATGGATGAGTACAATAATGGAAGTGTGTACAAGGTGTTATGGGGACAACTAAATATTCACTTAATATTCACTAATAGAGAGTTTCTCAAGTGAGGTTTTACTTCAGGTGTCAGTAGGTGATGCACAATAAAAAAAATTTTTTTCTTTAAGCCCTGAACAGATTAGGCTAAAGAGTTAAACATGCTTCTGTGCTGTAAGACTTAACAGAGCTTTTCATATCTAATGTTCATTGTGAATTTCCAAGGATGTTCCTGAAGATAGGGTGCACAGCATTTCCCAAACTTATTTGACCACAGAAATCTTTCTTCACAGATCATCTTGATCAGAACTTTAGATTTTACAAAGTGCTTTTCTATGGTATGCAATTTTCTGTGCCCAAGACTGCAAACATCTTATGAGGAAGAACTGGAACTGTTTTTCAGGTCAGGGAATGGGAACGTATCTTACTCATCTTGTATCTCCAGAGTCCAGCACAGTGTTCAACACATAAAAGATGCTCAATAAATGGCTGACAAATTCACAACTGAGTGCATAGTGTCATTTGCACCACCACAACCTGGGGGAATAGTTCACGCATGGATTATCCTCATTTCACAGAAGAGAGTATGAAGGCCAGGGACATTAAGTGACCCAGCCAAGATCTTAGAATGAGCTAGTGGTACAACGAAGACTGGAAACAGGATCCCCTCCCAGGTCCAGTGCCCCTCTTCTATTTGTATGACTATACAACCCTCGCATTTCCTGGCTAGTCATAATTTCAGATATTCTGTTCCACTTTTAAACCAGGTCAGGTAACATTCCAGTTTTTCATTTGGAAAAAATTGTAGGTAGGGAGACTATTTATGTTTTACAGACATAAAAAAGATGACTATCTACCTAATAAATATAGGAACCTGAAACACATACATGATATAAGTGAAATTCACATAACATTGAGTATAAGTGATTAAACATTAGTGTCCTTGAGCTACAATAGCTTATTTTGGAAGACAAGGGTGTTTGCAATGATGAGAAGATCTGATTTCGGTTAAGATTTTATGCAAGAAGAGCCATAGCCTGGCAAAGAGGCTGGAAGGTTTCTTCCACATAAACAACACCCAGAAAGAGAAGGTGCCCATGAGAGCTAGATGCAGGTCCCCCCAAAATACCACAAATACAAGCACTGTCCAGTTATTTCTCAGCTAACCAGCCTGGTGACACCCTAAGACTGCATGTGAGGAAAGCATATAAACAAAGAAGAGACCAAGATGGAGTCATGAATGTACTGAAGCAAGAAATCACCTGAGCAGTACCAGCTTCACGGGATTATGACAGGAGGAGCGTCCTAGAAGATACTCCATATCAGACCAGCACTAGGGCTATTTGCTTAGCTACACATGTTGAGGGTTATCACTGGTCCCTTAGTGAGAAGGACAGAGGTGGCCGTCAGAACATTCTCTCTTCTGTAGTCAGAGTCTCACTGAGTTAGAACCCTATCTCTGCTGTGATACTTGGGCCAAGTGACCCTCGTCTATTACATGGGAATAATGATTTTAGCTGCCTCACAGGATTATTGTGGTATACATGAGATAAAAGCATCAAGCATTTACCAGAAGGCCTAGAACACAGTGGATGCTCCATATTTTTACTATAACAAAGTGCTATTTTGATAAATAAATAATTCTAGTATCTTAAAACATAAGACACATTAGGCCATGCAATCATTCTCACTACTGAAGGTAGCTTGGTCATTCCTTTTTTTTTTTTTTTTTTTTTTTTTTTTGAGACGGAGTCTCGCTCTGTCGCCCAGGCCGGACTGCGGACTGCAGTGGCGCAATCTCGGCTCACTGCAAGCTCCGCTTCCCGGGTTCACGCCATTCTCCTGCCTCAGCCTCCTGAGTAGCTGGGACTACAGGCGCCCGCCACCGCGCCCGGCTAATTTTTTGTATTTTTAGTAGAGACGGGGTTTCACCTTGTTAGCCAGGATGGTCTCGATCTCCTGACCTCATGATCCACCCGCCTCGGCCTCCCAAAGTGCTGGGATTACAGGCGTGAGCCACCGCGCCCGGCCTGGTCATTCTTAATAAATTTATTCATATTCTCCATAAAGCTCCTAGTTCCAAGACCTTTCCAGGAATCAATGAAGAAATTAAAATAAGTTGACACTGTCTAAATGGTACAGTCATCACTGGGGACCCACAATGGGTAGAAACATGGAAGTAGCCTCCTTACAGAATGCTATCTCAACAAGTCAGCTCTGACTGGGAATTCCAAGTAATAAGTACTGGTCCAAACAACCAGGCCCTCAAATAGATCAGGGACAGCGTAGTTGGAGTTTATTCAACTATGAGCTTTAGCAAAAGACCTCTCTCTGGTAATTCTTCTCAGCAAAGATCATCTTGCTCTTCAAACACAATCACAATACGTGGAATTGTGGCATTTCTAGGGCTAGGATCATTACTCAGGTTTCTTGAGCCACAACATTTTGTCTTACGTTAAACACAGTGTTTCTTTATTTTAGTTTCCTTATCTAAATAGAAATCCCTGATAAAATAATGTTTTAAAAATAATGAAGGTAACAGGTTGATGAGCATAGCCTTGATCAGTCAGCATATAATTCCAGCTGGGTCTCTTACATCTAAGCCATGTATTGACTAATAAGCACCCTCTCCTGTCACATGCAATGGCTTGCACACATCACAGAGTTATTTGCAAGTTAATATATATTAAAATCACATATGCCCACACACATTACTTCTGTGCATCGGGGACCTCAAGAGATAATACATCCATCTTCATTTGTGACAGTGTATGCACCCATAGTTCATAAATGGTGATAAATGAATTGTCATGCCGTCCCAATGGCATAACATACTTATCCCCTATTCTTGCCGTATTAATACATGTTCATTTCGGCACCAGTCAAATCTTTAAAATGAGGGATCTAACACTTGCCTCCTATTGGTAACCACAGAAGAATGCTAATTTCACCTCTCAACACCCAGTATAATTTGTTTGGTATGCAAATTGTCAGAAGAATAGAGGAACCAAAAAGTAATAATAATTTCAACTAATTATGCCTTTTTGATATGCCCAGACAAATCTAGATGAAAAATACTTACACGGTTTATATTTCAGTAAATCCAAGAATAGGTAGCCATCAGCATCTACCCCACTCTAACACAGGTACCAACACAACAGAGAAGGGAATCGAGGCAGGCAGAACTGCTCAGGCTGATGAATGTGCCTGTGAACTGTTTTTGTTGTTGTTGTTTTGAGACGGAGTTTCGCTCCTGTCGCCCAGGCTGGAGTGCAATGACGTGATCTCGGCTCACTGCAACCTCCGCCTCAGCTCAAGCAATTCTCCTGCCTCAGCCTCCCGAGTACCTGGGATTACAGGTACCCACCACCACGCCCAGCTAATTTTTGTATTTTTAGTAGAGACGGGGTTTTGCCATGTTGCCCAGGCTGGTCTCGAATTCCTGACCTCAGGTGATCCACCTCTCCTCTGCCTCCCAGTGAACTGTTTTTAAAACAGCCTAATTGGTGTATTTATCACTTTAGCATCTGCCTCATGCTAAATTAGTGAATAAGTGGTTATTCACTAATAATTGTCATCCTTGCCTTATTTTTTACAGTCAGCTCTCTATTTTGGGAGTGCTAATGGTGGTTTGGAACTTAACCCTGTCCAGGGCCTTTCAAGAGTGTGTAATACCTTTTGGCCTTTATTTTTTGAGATGGAGTTTCGTTCGTTGCCCAGGCTGGAGTGCAATGGCACAATCTCAGCTCACTGCAACCTCCGCCTCCTGAGTTCAAGCCATTCTCCTGCCTCAGCCCCCTAGGTAGCTGGGATTACAGGCATGCACCACCATGCCCTGCTAATTTTGTATTTTCAGTAGAGACGGGGTTTCTCCATGTAGGCCAGGCTGGTCTCAAACTCCTGATCTCAAGTGATCCGCCCGCCTCCACCTCCCAAAGTGCTGGGATTGCAGGCGTGAGCCACCATGCCCGGCCCTTTCAGCCATTTCACAACCTTTCGGCACCTGCACGCAGTGATGGCTAGCAAAAGGAGATAAAACCTGGGGTCACTGAATCACAAGGCTGAAAGGGAACTTAGACATCATGGGCTCCATGCTGCCTGCCCACAGTCTCCCCCACTTCTCTTTCCACTCTCTCTACCTCCCTCCCTCGTGTCCCAGCCTCACCCTCCCTTCTATCCCTCAAAGCTTTCAGTCTGTTTAGCTGGTAAAATAATATTTAGGACTAAAGATATAAAACAAATGGCTAAAATGAGGAGTTGCATTAATAGTGAATCTTGTGAACTAATTCTCATGAAGAAAGATGACCCAGCACTAATTAGTTGTTTCCAAAATTTTCTGATTATGCATCCTATGGGAAAAAAAAAAATTAAAGCACACACTATATATAGAATTTCGTATATATAAGACTGTCCTAAAACATGGTATACATTTAAACAGATACCAAAAGGAGATAAAAGTAGGAATAGCACCTGTAATCCCAGCACTTTGAGAAGCCGAGGTGGGCGGATCACAAGGTCAGGAGATTGAGACCATCCTGGCTAACACGGTGAAACCCTGTCTGTACTAAAAATACAAAACATTAGCCAGGCATGGTGGCATGCACCTGTAGTCCCAGCTACTCGGGAGGCTGAGGCAGGAGAATCATTTGAACCTGGGAGGCAGAAGTTGCAGTGAGCCGAGATCACTCCACTGCACTCCAGCCTGGGCGACAGAGCGAGACTCCGCCTCAAAAAAAAAAAAAAAAAAGTAGAAATAGAAATTTTATTTTTTTTCTTTTCACAAGCACCCAGCTTGGAGAACACAGACCCTTATGAGCCACTCACTTTCATGAGTGTCTCCCAGATTCGGGATGGTTCAGTTTGCCACTTCGGGTGACATCCTTGTGATGGTGTCTTGTGAAGGAGAACTTTGGACACACTCCTCCGTCAGAGTGCTACAGACCCTGCAACACATCTTTTCTTAATCCTCTGCTTACTGGGGGTTTGCATTTCAAAGCAATATTCTGTTTTTGGTGAGCATAGAAGCAACACTTAGGAAACATGAGTCAAACCTTCTGAAACTACATTCACATTAAAAAACGAATGCTTTCTCTCAATCACCTCTCTATGTGGGACTAACAGGTGGCCCTGGGAAGCAGCCAGGACCAAATAAAGCCTTCCATCAAAACCAAACAAAGAACAGGTGAGGCTTCTCAAAGGTGTGGTCTCCAGGGTTGCTGAATGCACAACTCTCAGAGAAAAGAACGCTGGAGGAAAACACTGAACTGACAAAGTCGGTGATTTATAATCTCTCATTCCCATAAAATGACTCTCGTTATTCTTGGGAGCTTCGACTCTGAAGCGAGCTGTAATGGGCCACTGGGCTAAAAATGAAGTGCAGATTTATTTCTATAATCACCACCAGTCAAACCCTTCCCTGGGAAATCACTAACTTGGTTTTCAAAGTGCTGGGATACCTTTAGAACGTTTGAGATTTATCTTTGGGATTGAGTGCTTGTGTTGCTCTGGGAAATTCTAATTGAGTTGTAGATGCCTCCATCAGTGGACTGGGGAGTTTTGGAAAGACAACAGAGAAGTAGGGCTTCACTTCCCTTTCACATTCAGTTCTGAGAAAATTCCTATGTCAAAGAGATGGTAAGTAAACAGCAACTACAAATACATCAAATACTGGGCTGAGAGACTCCCTGATCCAGCTGCTATCCAGAAGGCCAAATAAGTTTAACCTCAAAGAAAATTTAAATTCTGAAATTGAATTTGACTCATGACAGTTTCCTACATTCACAGCTCTTGGCCATCAACAAGCTGAAGGTGGGGTGCTTCCCTTGCTGTGCAAAGAATCGTTGGACCTAGAAAATATTCTGATATACTCATATAGCCATAAATCTCCAAAGTTAAGGTAAAAGATACTTACAAAAAAAGTAAAACAACTAAATAAATAAGAACCACAGGATCCTTAGTGTAATTCGAGCTCACAGCACATTATATAACACTGCCCTTACTCTGGCACTCAGGTGATCAAGCAGCCACTGGGGTTCTCACTAATGCCTCTTGGCAGATGTCTTAACTCATAATAAGTTCATTTATTGCCTGCATGCATGCAGTGTCCTTTCCCTGACTTTGCTTCATCTTTAATGAACCTTCCCAATTTTCAACTTCATATGATAGTGAAGGGAACTCCAGGCAGTCTCCAGAACTGAAAACTACAAGTCTCTGCTGTGGACTTACCATTATATTCAGAGCGGAATCCAAAAATCAAAGAATTTTAGAACTGGAAGGAATATGGGGGCACATTTACACCCACTTTTTGACAAAAACTTTGAGGCCCAGTAGGAAAAAGTCAGTTGCCCAAGGTCACCCAAATGATCAGTGGCAGTGTTGGGAATAAAATCTGGTTCTTCCAGCTCTGCCATAACTCCTTAAAACACTTTAAAGGATTAAAGACCCTGAGGAATGAGAGAAAAAAGACACGTCTTTGCTTTGAATGGGTCAAAGGTCCGAGCAGGTCAGAAACTGTTCCCACCATCTAGAGCTTTAGCCCATAACAAGACAAGACTGCCAGAATTTGCTCTACCATGGCCTCTTCTCTAACTGGCCAATTAATTTTTTAAATGATTTATGATGATTCTCAAAGAAAATGCTTTTCCTGCAAGAGGAATTAATATGCTGAACTTAAAATATTTGCACTAATTACTAAAGGTCAAAATGGGATTGTGCAGAAACATTAATCAGAGGGCCCAAGGGAATAGGAATACATTGGACAAATAGTGTAAAGCTCTAATCAAAATATTGAGAAAGGTGCAGTTTGTTGCTTATGCAACTGCAAACTGGAGCAAGGACATTCTCCCTTAAATCTAGACCATGGAACCAATGATGACTAGCAAATAACCATATTTCAATGGCTCCAAAGGTCCTTAAGAGAAAATCCAAAGTCAGTTATTAATGCAGTAAAGCTCTCCCTCCTCATCAATTTTTACCATTGTTTTTTTTTCTGTCCATCCACCCTGACCTACTTTCAGTCCCTCAGACCTGCCATTCCTCTAGAGCTGCCCACTTATGGCTTCTCCTGCTTAGAATACTTCCCTGACTACCCCAGCCACTCCCTTTCATATGGATGAATCCTATTCATCCTTTAGGTCTCCTTAAATGCACATCCTCTATGTAGTGAGGTCACATTGCTCACCCCAATTTGTCATACTTCACTGTATTCACACACTTCTTTTGGATGACTTTGAAATTTCTTCCAATAATGAGTTAGAGAATATTTCCCCAGACTTTACATTTGAGTTCAGCCCCATGACTTTCTTTAACCAATAGATCGAGGCAGAAGTAACAATGTCCCAGTTCTGAGCCTAAGTCTTAAGAGGTCTCACGTATTTCCACTTGCCTTCTTTGATTCTGCCATAGCCATGAGAACATACTTGAGCTAAACTGCTGATCCCAGGAGGAATATAAAATCATCTAGAGTAGAACCATCCAGGCAAGCTTCATCAGCCAAGCCTAGACCAGATCAGCTGTTCCCCCGATGACCATGGACACATGAGTGAGTCCAGAGAAGATCTGCAAAGCTGCTTGGCCTAGGCCACCCAACCTGCAGATACCTGAGAAATTACAAATGATTGCTGTTTCAAGCCTTTGAATCTGGGGCTGACTTATTACACAGCAAGAATACTTTTTCCCATCATAGAAGTCATTACACCTTATTAAAATCCTTGGATTAATTTCCTTTCTCTTGAGGATTGCCTATTCCAATACAATTAAAACTGTGCCTACCTGGCTCCTCATATTATTTCAAGTTTTAGTACAGTTTATTGGTACACAGTGGAAACCCATTAAATAACTGGTTGTTGAATGAATACCTTATCTTTGTGAAACATTTTCTTTAGAGTCTCTCTCTAGCCTTGATAGCAAACTGCCCACCTACAGTTTTCAAAGCCCTCCCACACTTGGTACAGCATTTTAACCTGACAACAATCAGCAAAGTAGATTATGTTTATTTGATCACATGCTAGACAAAATGCTTGTGAATACAAGGTGCTTTTTTGCACATCTCATTGTTTAAACTCATTGTGGTTTTATAGTCAGTACTAAACAGATGGATGAGCATTTCCAAATAAAGCTTATTCTTACATTTGGCATCAGATTCTCTGTTCCTCCAAATCTCTCCAACCTGTATAAATTACATTCAAAGTCAGTCTTTGAATACATGCAAACCTGTTAGGAATTAAGATCCCGTCCTGCTGTAAACGATTGTTGGCAACCTGAATACGGGAGTGAAAATTGCACTTACATAGTCATCAAAGAGCCCCGTGTCATGCACCTGTTTCTTCATGGTGCTTTGGAAAAAGGGGAGACACAGGAAATTTAACAATCCCTTTTGCCTTTATATCACATTCCAACTCTTCACTTGCACTGAACATTCATAATTCTAAGAGTTTAGCATTGTCAAGGACTCAGCTAGCATGAACTAAGAGAAAACGGAGATTCAATTCATTCACTCCATTTTTTTTTTTTACTTTTTATTATTGTGGCAACAATATGAGTGTACATAATGCTACTGGACTGTACTTTCATTTGACCCATCTTTGCTGCTCTAGGATCACCAAATCCTTCACCTCTATGGCATTTAAGGTAAGAGATTTTCTTACCTTCACCTCTATGCCATTTAAGGTAAGAGATTACTTTTGAGAGGAACTGTGCCTATCTCCCTGGTGGACAACCACACTTTCTTTTCTTCCATAGTCTCCACTCAACAGTCTGCCCCCCACAGGAGAGGGGAGTGAATGAAAAGTAGCCTTTGTGCTAGAACAACCAATCAACCTTGAAGAATAAAACCCTCTGGATACAACCATCAGGACCAAATGCGTGCTGAAGAGAAAAATCATGACCAGATTATTCCAACAGCCAGCTCTCTTCTTAAGAGATCAACACATCCTTAGCACTTGTTGAAAGAGGAGGCCTAATTTCTGAAAATTATTGTCTCAAGGCTTAGAATCTTACCAAAAAAATAAATAAATAACTTCTTAGAATATACAAGTGGGACTAAAGAGGAAAGAAACACTCCACCTCCTGGAGAAATGTCGGCCGCTCTAGAACTGTCTGGTCTGGTTCTGCTAGTAAATGGCCATTGAGATCACAAAAATCTTCATGAACTGGGAACAAATTTGCCCCACATGCTCAGTGCTCACCAACAGGGAAGGGGGTGCTTCCGCATTTGGGGTGTTGCAGATTCACCTTTGGCAACTTAGAATGAGTCTTAGAAATCATTCAGATTCTATTGCATTAAACATGACATCTATATTTTAAACAAGCCCCCTGGTAGTTCAGATGGAGGTGGTCGGTGGACACTTTAGAAACATCTGTATCCCTGTCTTGGAAGCAAAACAAACTAGATGCAAAAGGAAACGTCCCCTCCCTGAGGCTCCCCGTGATACTTATGTGGAACCCGGAAATAATAATGACATGTGTGTCCTAGCATGAGCATGAGAATTAGACAACACATGCAACAACTCAGAAATTTGCCTGGCCAATTGAAGGCACCTAATAAATGTCGGCTATTATTATTATGTGGCCTTTTATGCATGGTTGATTCCTGAGGCACAAACAAGCCATCAACTTCTTCCAACCCTTCACGTGAGAAGGTAAAAACCTTGACTTCAATTGAGGTCTGTTTTTCTCGGTAGATTAAATGCCTTTCTTCCCTCCTTTACCTTGTGAACTCCTTGTGGATCTTGTCTTTTCAAGATTCTTTTCCAAACAATGCCTCTTCCAAGGAGTGTCCTCACCTTCCACAGGGCCAGCTCCTACCCTCTCAGAGGTGACCAGTGCACTCACACATACCTCCTTTTCAGGGCCTGTTACGTGGCGCTAGAACACTTTGCAGACTTGCCTCCCCACCTGATTGTGACTGGCTCAGAGTAGAGTTAATTATTTCTCTAAATAAATCCTTCTGGTTATCTACTCATACCTCTCAGTCACCCAGTACAGCACCTGGGACCCACAGGCGTTTAGAAAATGTTTGGGGGAACAGTGAAGGAATAGAAAAGGAAATAGACTAAAAGATTGGACGTGACCAACGTAGGGTCTCAGCATCTGGGTGATGAGGCTGGTTAAGAGCAGGGCTCCAGAGCCAGGCTACCTGAGCTTGGATCTAGACTCCACCTCTTACTAGCTGGGTGACTTTGGACAACTTAGTCACATCTCTGAGCCTCAATTTCCTCATTTGTAAAATGAGATAAAAACCTCTGCTACCCTCATGTGAGGCTTATGTGAGGAACATATGTGAGGGTTAAACAAAATAAATAATAGGAATTATGTACACATAGGTAAGTGTTCAATAAATGTTAATAACTGTTGTTGTTGCTAATGGTGTAAGTTACAGGCTTTGAAGTCAGACAGGCTTGCATTTAAATCCACATTCTACCACTTACTAGTTTGTATGACCTTGGGAAAGTTTGTTACATTACATTTTGTAAACATCAGCTTCCTCATCTATAATATGACAATAATATCTGTATCAAGAAAATAATACACTTTAAAAAATGGCTAGCAGCCTGATGCCTGACACCCACCAAGTGCTTATGAAGAGTCATTATCATCAAGGCAGTCACTACAAAAAGGGCAAACTGAGGCAGGGACTGAGAATGGAATCCAGACGGAACGTAGACCAGTGTCATGAGATCCGGCCAAAGAAATAGTGTCCTGGGTCTGTTGAAAGAGGCCTGGTTGCCTTCTACTCTGCTTAATGCTTGTGGACAAGAACGTGTAGGGACTGCCACCTCCCAGAGCAAGGCAGGACTCTTCGAGGACCCGCTATCCTGCCCCGTACCCCAGATTGGGCATCCTCTGCACTCACACAGCTGTGTTTCCACCATGTTGTTCTCAACTTAAATGTATCTGTTTGGGTGTCAGTGTCATGCCTCACATCCTTGAGGATGCATGCCTCACACCCACTGCCAGGAGTATTTACGGAACCCAATAATGTTCCTTAATAATAAGGAACCCAATCATGTTCATGGACTTGGTCTGGACACTTGAAAGGCACGGATAGAAGACATGTTGACATAAAAGAGTCTGAATCCCAACACAGGTTCTTCAGCCCTCAATTTAATTCTGATGTCTACATGTGCTTGTGTCATTTATTTTGCTTTAAGAATTTTGAAATTATCTCCCCCACAGTTACCAAGTAAATAGGTTTCAACTCCTCAACCTTAGACTGCATAAGATTTCTGAGGTTCACAAACCTAAGGGAAAAGTCAAATTTCCTTCTGTTCTCTTCTCATCTCCACCCCTTGCTCCCCAAACACAAGTTTCTAAAAAGTCTTTCTGGTGGCAAATCAGCTGCTTAAAAGTGTTATTTTTTAATAAAGTGTTCAAGTCAATCTTCCCCCAAGAAGATGGGGGAAAGAAAGCAAACACATTGTTTCACCATCATATATACATACACACCAAGAAAACTTAGTTCCTGTTAGTGAAGTCTATCTCTGTGTGTTTGCGAAAACTCAATTTGCAGCTGGGGAAAGTGGTATTTATTTGAAGGAGCTTATTGCTGAAAGTGAATCATAAATCTGCTGGCTGTTGAGACTTCAAGGCAGAAGAACAGAGGCAATTATTAGTCTGAATGTTCCACTGACGATATGAAATCTTTGTCTTTCAAAGCATTTGTTTAAGTAAGAAAAAGTTTGCCCAGGCTGCAGAACATTCTATTGTGGGAAGAGAAACTTCTGAAACCTCCAAAGCTTATTTATATATTTGCTAGGCTTCTCTCTGCCAACTTTCTCCTCTCCCAGAGCGTCCGTTAATGCTAAGAAAAGCCTCCGAAAAGCACACATTATAAGCAGAGAAAAATCTTAATGAATGTAATATATTTGGCAAATCTGTTTTATCTACTGAGGAGATTTCCTTCCTCTCTTCATCACTCATCTCTTTTGTTTCTTCTTTTTTTAATGTTGTTCCCCTTGATTTGTCCTTCTTCCTATGGAATTCATTTTTCTCTCGTCCCAAAGATAAAAAATAGAATCCCAAACAATATCGTGACTTTCATTCTCTTGCCATTATGTTCTGTCTCTTCCTACCTAATTTTCTTCCTTAGAAGAGGGAGCCTTAAGAGCACAGTGTTAACTTCCCCTCTCTAGCCTAACCAGAGGAGACATATCCAGTGCAAAAGCCAGCTCCCAACTATGCACAGTTAAGCTGTACACTTTATAGGTGGTCCTTGGCCAAGGAACATGGCAAGCTCGCCTCCCCTGTCACTCAGCATGCTCCTCCCCTCAGCTGGTGTGTACTCAATAAGTACTAAGCCATCTTAGGGCCGGGCGCAGTGGCTTATGCCTGTAATCCCAGCACTCTGGGAGGCCGAGGTGGGTAGATCACTTCAGGCCAGGAGTTCAAGACCAGACTGGCCAACATGGAGAAACCCCATCTCTACTAAAAATACAAAAATGAGCCCGGTGTGGTGGCACATGCTTGTAATCCCAGCTACTCAGGATGCTGAGACATGAGAATTGCTTGAACCTGGGAGGTGGAGGTTGCATTGAGCCGAGATCACACCACTGCACTCCAGCCTGGGTGACAGAGTGAGAATCCATCTCAAAAAAAAAAAAAAAGTTACTAAGCCATCTTTATATAGACCTGAACACCCCAACATCAACTGTCAGCCATAGAAAGCAAACATTTACTCATATAAAGCATTCCAAATCCAAATTCAAAAGATTTGGAGTTATCTGGACAATTTCCCCCTGACACTAGTAAGCTTAAGTGACAGCAGAATGTGTTTGTATATCTTTGTACACAATTTGATTCACCTTTCTATTGCAGCTGTGCAACCTAAAAATACAGCTGTGACCTGAGATTCTCTTAACACCTTGCTAATCAGAGCATAGTACCCAGGCCAGCAGCAGCAACATCACCTGGGGAGCCCTAGCCTCAGGCTTACTGAATCAGAAATTTTATTTTAACAAGATCTCCAGGTGGCTTGCTTGCACATCAGGGTCTGAGCAGCTCAGTTAACACTAAGCATAAAAGTGGCACCTGGAGGTTGGGTTTGAGAAGTGAGGGGCTGCACCTACTAAGCCTGCTGCTTCTGCTTTGTCAACCCTCTGCAGGGTGGTTGGTACCTCTCACGTGTCGCCATGCTCCCCATCCCCTTCCCTGACTCTAGTTGTTGTCACCTCTCCATCTGTTGGCTACACCAGACTACTAGGGTCTTGGTCTTGGTAACTGCAGGTGACACTAGTGTATGGGCCAGCCATGCTCTTTCCTCCCTGCTGGGTCTGCCTGTACCTGTGTGAGCTGTTATCACAGAGACTGATAACTTGACATTTACAGTTTCTTTCCCAGAGAGGAACACAAGACATTTCATGAAAGCTGCACATAATCCTCCTCAATCCCCTGTAGAATGGGGAGGGAAAGTGCATTTTAAAATAATCCCATTTTGGTTATCCCACCTCAATGCTATTCTCTCCCCTTCTAGAATAAAAGAAAATAAAAAACTAAAGAGGCATTGCCCCTGAAGAATGTGTGTGTGTGTGTGTGTGTGTGTGTGTGTGTGTGTGTGTGTGTGTGTGTGTGTGTATGCGTGCAATAATTCTGAGTTTCAGGAAAGGCTTCTAGGTTGAAGCAACTTCTGAAACAACTCCAGATTCTTCACAGGATTTCTTCTGAATCTCGGATGATAGGCACTTATTTGGGCACTCCTTTTCCCCACACCTCAAGCCCTGACTACCCCCCGGAGCCCATATTCCCACGGGCACAAAGGCTGGAGACCGTGTGTAACAAACAGGTCCCTTGAGCTTTGCTTCAGCTTCACCCTAAAACACAAACCCAAGCCACATCTTTAGCTTTTCTGCCAACAATCTCCCCACTCAGGTGTTCTAAGTGCTTCTCCAAAGGCATTCCCATGCATTTTAGTTTTTTTTTTCTCTCATCATCCCAAGCAGCCTCCCTTATTAGGTGATTAACTTGGAATTACAACCTCTTTATTTCTTTTCTTTTAGGCACATGAGGACATTGCAGGGCAGGGACAGGCTGGTTCAAAGAGTGAACTTCTCCCAGACAGCAAGGGGTCCAATCAGTTCGCTGTGGTTTTCCCCCTGAGTAACCTAACAGTCCCTGGAGGCCACAGCTCCTCTTCTGGACACCCAGCATCTTGGCCAGCCCAGAGAGGAAAGCAAGGTCTGGAAGCCTCCCAAGGGGTCACATCTCCTGTTGGGTCATTAAGCATCCACACCTCCTCCTAGCGACACCTATAAGTGATGTCAGAGTGTGTACTTCCATACAGTCCTAAGATTTTTTTTAATGCCTTCAAAAACAAAAATAAAGAGATACACTCTTCTCCTACCTCAACATGGCTACAAACACAGTTCCACGTTAGCCTCCTAGAAGGGCAGGAATAAGGGAGGTGAAAATGGAAAAGGTAAGGAGTAGGACTAGACAACTCAATGTCTCACAGAGGTACTCACCATTTGTAGTTCATTGAATGAAGCATCTGGGTCTCCAAAATCCTCTGGCATAGCCTCTTTAAGAACACAACAGTGACTTCCTGAACTCCCCACTGAGCCACCTAACATTCGCAGAGCTCTTCCTGCCTCTTTCTGAAGCCCCCGTCTTACCACCAGATGATAGGAGGGCCTTCTCTCCCTGCCGCCAAAACGAAAGTTGCCTCTCTGAAATAAAACCTTTCACCTGAGATTCCATTTAATTTAAATCCCGGTAATTCAGCTGATACAGAGATGTGTTACCAACAAGAAGGAATGTCTTTGTTTGACTGAGCCCCAGCAGGGAGGCATAACTTCGACTCTGGCCATGTGGGCGATTTTTCTGTGAGCTTCGGGGGCTTGAAGAAAGAAATTCCAATTTGAATATCTTAAAATTCTTGGAAGGATCTGGCTAGCAATAGGGAGTGCCTTGCTTCCCACAGATTAACTCAAATGGACAATAAGATCAGTCTAAATGGTTCCTATGCATATTTCTGGAATAGTTCAAAATGGAATGTCCTTTTCCACAATGCATGTTTTAACACATTCTTTAAATCTACTAAAGAGCAGAACAAATCCTAAGAATGTACTTCATTTTAGTCTTAATTCATTCCATAGTTAGAAGCTATAAGATTGGATGGCACACAATCTTACGATTATTATTTCAGTTACGTGCAAGAAATATTTGCTGTTTCCACTAAGTGCTTGGAGGCAGCATGTAGGACACCAAAGTGTGAAACTCAATCTGCTACACATGGTTGTAACCCACGTAAAGCCAGGCTGGCGTTTTCTCACCTAGAAGTCAGCCTCAAAGAAATACAGTCAAAAATAGCCAATAAGCAAATTATATCTTTATTGAAATCTATTGAAATTTACCCAAAGAGATCCCACTCATAACACACAGCAAAACTTATTGAAACCATTCCTCCTGCCACTTTCTCTCTACATTAATATCTTATTTGTGCATGTGTGTGTGCATTCAATTGTCACTGCACCTGCCGCCAAAGCCTCTCCTCTCCCTCCTATGCTCCACAGATCTCTCAAACAAGATTTTTTTCTCTGCCTCTCTTCCCCGTGTCTATATCTGTTACTTTTCTCTTGTCCATAGCTCTCTGATATTTTCCATGTAAAACTGGGTGGTCTCTCACAACTTCTCCGAGTCTCTTCAACAGCCACAATCATACACAATTGACTCTGGAACCCACCTGGCAAGGCTCTCTCCCTAGGAGAGGTCAGAGGAGGGCAGACTGTTTCTCCTCTGCAAGCAGAGGAAGGGAAATACTGTGACTATTTGAATTACAGTCTTTCTCTGCCAGAAGGGAACTATTTAATAAAAATTAATTGAATACTTATTTTTAAATCCTACTTAATATGAACTTTATCATGAAAATGGACATGGGCCCTGTCATCAAAGAGCTTACTCTCTAGATGGGAAGGCAATGACCCAATAATTGAATAATTACTATTATGATGAGTGCTGCAGCCACCAGTAGAGTATGACTCTAATCCAGTTGTCCCCTTAAGATGTCAATTAAAATGGTCAAATACCATTGTGTATCTAGTGGAAAGTCCAGAGCCCTCTTCAAGATTTCTGCAAAATTTCTGCACAGAGGCAGATAGGAGAATGGGACATGCTTTCCTGCCTCTGCTGAATTCTCTCCCATTTCCTGCCTCTGCTGAATGCTTGTTTTGTGCTCCATGCCTTGAAGTCAATCCTTTATCTTCCTGACTTCTCACTCAAGTAACCAGGGAACAAAGCTTGTGATGTGTAGCAAAACTTTCACATTTCTACAAAACTTTTCTAGGTCACTGCCAAAAAGTTACATTTCTGCGTGATACAGCAAATACTTAAAACTACATATCAGTCATGTCTCATCTTGGAATTCCTTTGGTCATCAACACGTAGGGGATTTCTCACTGGTCTTTCTAGTCTAGCACTCAGTCTTTGACTGTCTTGCTGTTTCTCTGTCTTACACACACACACACACACACACACACACACACACACACATACACACAGAGAGAGATAGACAGAAAGAGAGAAAGAGAGGGAGAGAGATTGCCCAAGTCATTTCACATTCCTCTCACCCTATTTTGCACAGAAATTTAGCATTCTACAACCCTTATGTCTAAACTCAGTTCCAAGCCCAACCTTGAATAGCCAACACTTTTGAGTAACAAGATGAGCAAAAGAGCTAGCTGTGTGTTCAAAAGCAAAAAGAACGGCAAACTTATGTCTTTCCTTTAATAGGATCCACCCTCCTATATTAAGTGACTAAAATAATTATACCAACACTGAGAGAGATAAAAGCTATCCCTGTCTGTCCAATAAGAAGATTAGACCAAATACTTTCTAAGACCCACAGACGATATGTTCCAAAAGATCAGGGACAGTGTCTGTCTTGTTCTCTGCTATACCCACTATCTAGCACAGTGCTATCTTTCTCAACAAACAAGTGCTTTTTGAATAATATATTAACATCCTTTTCAGTGCTTACATTCTGTGAGTTCTTTAATATTTGCAGTTCTTTTATATTGGTTAGGATTATGTCAGCTATGCATAACTGATGGAACAACTCAAAATGGGTTAAATAATAAGGAAATTAATATAGCACAAAACGCGAAGTCAAAACATTAAGTTGTTCTAGCATTAATCAAAGCAGCAGTTGGTAATATTTTCAATACCCAGGTTTTTTTTGTCTTTCTTCTCTTTTTTTTATTTTTTATTGATTTTATTTTTTATTATTTTTTTTTTTTTGAGATAGAGTCTCCCTCTGTCACCCAGGCTGGAGTGTAGTGGTGCAATCTCAGCTCACTGCAACCTCTGCCTCCTGGGTTCAAGCAATTCTCCTGCCTCAGCCTCCTGAGTAGCTGCGATTACAGGCATGTGCCACCACACCCAGCTAATTTTTTGTATTTTTAGTAGAGATGGGGTTTCACCGTGTTAGCCAGGATGGTCTCAATCTCCTGACCTCGTGATCCACCCACCTTGGCCTCCCAAAGTGCTGGGATTACAGGCGTGAGCCACTGCGCCCAGCCTGTCTTTCTAATCTACTATCCTCAGTGAGGTCCTCAAGAATATTCCCTCATGACTGCAAATAGTTTTAGCTCTTTCAAATATCATACCCACATACAACAATGACCTTTTCCAGGTCCTTCATCATGAGCAAAGATAACTTTCTCAGAAGCCACTTTGTAGACTTTACCTCATCTCACGTTTCACTGGCCAAAATTACATTACATGCTCAGCCCTAAATCAATCAATGGCAAGAGACAAAACCTAAGACTTATCAGGATTCAGCTCTTGGAGCTAAAATTACAAAGTCCTTGAGGAACACAAAGCCCCTGAAGAATTCAGCCACTCTTTTCCTGAACAAAACCTGTGTTCTGTTAGCAAAGATAAAGGAATGAGTATCTGCTTAGGTAGTCAACAAACAGCATATGCCATAATTATGATCTCATCAAAAAAAGCCATTCCAAATGGGATAAGAATTGTTCTGAATGCAGTACTGATTCCAAGTAAATGAGTGAGCCACTGAGACACAGCATAGAGACTTCTGATTCCAAAGTGGTGGTATACATACAAGCTGGCTTCCATCCTTACCCTCACCCCCCACAGAAAACCAAAACCCAATATGCAGCACTGAGATTATCACCAGTAATATCCCAGAACTCAAACATAAGGATGAATCCATTTCTGGGGCCGCAGAGAAGTTTAAAACAAAACTCTGAGCAGACAGAAAGAAAATCAGATTCTCATATCCTTCACTCCCCTCCCCAAATTTGCTCCGCACCAAACACATGGAATATGTCCTTTGACTTCTGGTTTCTACACTAGAAAAAGTAAGATAGAGGTGGACAAGCAGTTTCTCCACCATCTCGGGCTCTTTGGCAGGAGACCTGTCTATGCCTTAACCCACAGGAAGCACTGTAACTACCTGAAGGGAGACATATCCCTGAGGACAGGCAACAAAAAACGGGCAAAGTTGGACCACCATCTCCAGCCTTGAAAACTCTGCTCTATAACTCAGCCAAAGGAGACACCAGAGCAGAGTGGCTGTTCAGGAGCCCTATGCTGTAGGAAGTATGTTCCATAGGTCCCCTGAAAATGAACCCTTAGCCAGCTTTTCCATACTGCCAGGATATGCTTTTTTGGGGACATTCCACATTCTGAATAGGAAGCACGCTAATTATTTGCTAGAACCAAGACAAACCTGAGCTTTAGGCACCATCTAGTACCAAAAAGAAGGCAGTGGCCTAACAGAAAACAATATATAAGAAATTCAACAAGTAAATCACAAGGAATATCTAAGCAAACATAACTAATAAAAAGCAAAACAAGCCAGACAGAGAAAACAGTAATAAATAACTAATTATTCAATACAAAGATATAGACATCCACAAGAAACAACAGGAAACCATGACCTCACCAAATGGACAAAGCAAGGAACCAGTGACAGATCCTAACAAGATGGTGATATGTGAGATCTCTGACCAGGAATTCAAAATAGCAGTTTTAAGGAAACTCAGTGATCTCCAATACAATACAGAAAATCAACTCAGAAATTTATCAGAGACATTTAACTAAGAGATTTAAATAATTTTTAAAATCAAACGGAAATTTTGGAACTGAGAAATACATTCACTGACATGGAAAATTCACTGGAGGCTCTCAACAGCAGAATGAATCAAGCAGAGGGAACAATCAGTGAACTTGAAGACAGGCAATTTGAAACTATACTTTCAGAAGAGAAAAGAGAATTAAAAGGAAAAAAGATTGCCTACAAGATACAGAAAATAACCTCGAAAGACCAAATCTAAAAATTACTGGTGTTCAAGAGGGAAAAGAGCAAGAGAAAGGATTAAAAAGATTATTTGAAGATATAATAACAGAAAACATTCTTTTTTTTTTTTATTGAGACAGAGTCTCGCTCTGTCGCCCAGGCTGGAGAGCACTGGCATGATCTCTGCTCACTGCAAGCTCCACCTCCTGGGTTCACGCCATTCTCCTGCCTCAGCCTCCCAAGTAGATGGGACTACAGGTGCCCGCCACCACGCCCAGCTAATTTTTTGTATTTTTAGTAGAGACGGGGTTTCACCATGTTAGCCAGGATGGTCTCGATCTTCTGACCTCATGATCCACCTGCCTCGGCCTCCCAAAATGCTGGGATTACAGGCATGAGCCACTGCACCCAGCCAATAATAGAAAACTTTCTAAAACTTGAGAAAGATATAAGTATCCAGGTTCAAGAAGTCCAGAGATCTCCAGATTCAACCCAAATAAGACTACTCCAAAGCATGTAATAATCAAACTCTCAAATGTCAAGAACAAAGAGAGGATACTAAAAACAGCAAGAAAAGGGAACAAATAACACATAAACCAGATTCAACCCAAATAAGACTACTCCAAAGCATGTAATAATCAAACTCCCAAATGTCAAGAACAAAGAGAGGATACTAAAAGCAGCAAGAAAAGGGAACAAATAACACATAAAGGAACTCCAATTTGTCTGGCAACAGACTTCTCAATGGAAACCATACACACCAGGAGGGAGTGGAACAACATTTTCAAAATACTGAAAGAAAAAAACCACCAACAAAGAATACTTTATTCAATGAAGCTATCCTTCAAGTATGAAGGATAGTCCTTCCCAGACAAACAAAAGCTAAGAGAATTCACCATCAGACCTGTATTACAAGAAATGCTAAAAGCAATTCTTCAATCTGAAAGAAAAATCCACTAATGTGCAAAACAATTTGAAGGTGTAAAACCCACAGGTAAAATTCAGAACAGAGAAAACCCCAGAATACTCCAATACTATAATAGTGGTGTGCGATCCACTTATAACTCTAGTATAAAACTGAAAAGACAGATTCATCAAAAACAATAATAGCTGTAACAACCTGTCAAGGGCCAAGCAATATAATAATATGTAAATTGACACAACCAAAACTCAAAATGTGAAAAGAAGGTGTTAGAGTGCAGTGGTTTTGGGTTTTATTTTTTGTTTTTTTTTTTCAGTTTTTTCTTTGTTTTTATTCCCTTTTTATGATCTAAAATAAATTGTTATCTCTTTAAAGTAACTTCTTGTATCTATAAGATCTTTTCGTAAGCCTCACAGTAACCACAATGAAAAAACCTATAATAAATACACTAAAAATAAGAATAACAAATTAAAACATATTACCAGAGAAAATCACTTAACCTGAAAGGATGACAGTAAGAAAGGAAGAGAGAAGAGAGGACTTACAAAACAACCAAAAAGCAAGCAATAAAATGGCAGTAGTAAGTCCTTACTTGTTAATAATAACACTGAATTTAAATGTACTAAATTCTCCAATTTAAAGATATGGAGTGGCTGAATGGATAAAGAAACAAGACCCAACTATATGCTGCCTACAAGAAAGCCACCTCACCCATAAAGACACACAGAGACTGAAAATGAAAGGATAGAAAAAATATTCCATTCAAGTAGAAACTAAAAATAAAGGTAGGAGTAGCTACAGTTCTATCTGATGTAAAGGACTACAAGTCAAAGGATGTAAAAAAAGAAAAAGAAAGTCACTATATAATAATGAAGGGGTCAATACAGCAAAAGGATGTAACAGTTATAAATATCTATGCACCAAACACTAGATCTCCCAAGTATATAAAGCAAACATTAATGGATCTAAAGAGAGGTACAGCCTGCAATAAAATAATAGTAGGGGACTTCAATACCCCACTCTCAATAATGGACAGATCATCTAGACAGAAAATCAACAAACATTAAACTACACACTAAATCAAATAGGCCTAACATTTACAGAACATTTCAGCCAATTGCTACAAAATACACATTATTTTCATCAGTACATGGAATATTCTCCAGAAAAAGACCATACTTTGGGCCACAAAACAAGCTTCAACAATTTCAAAAGAGTAAAAACCATATAAAGTATCTTTTCTGACTATAATGGAATAAAACTAGCAATGATAGCAAGAGGAACCTCAAAAACTACACAAACACGTGGAAATTAAGCAACATGTTCCTAATTGACCAATTGGTCAATTAAGAAATTGAGAAGAAAATGTTAAAGTTTCTTGAAACAAATGAAAATGTAAATATGCCATACCAAAATCTATGGGATACAGAAAAAGAAGTACTAAGGGAGAAGTTTATAGCAACAAACACCTATATAAAAAAAGTTGAAAGACCTCAAATTTGAAAACCTAATAATATACCTCAAGGAACTACAAAAACAAAAACAAACCAAACTCAAAATTACCAGAAGGAAATAAATAATGAAGATCAGAACAGAAATAAATAAAATTGAGACTAAAAAATGCAGATCAAAAATTCAAAATGTTGGTTTTTTGAAAAGATAAAATTGACAAACCTTTAGCTAGACTAACTAAGAAAAAAGGGGGAAAGACAAAGAAAATCAGAAACAAAAAGAGGAGATGTAATAACTGAGACCATAGAAATACAAAAAATCATTAGAGATAATTACAATTACATGCCAACCAATTTGAAAACCTACAAGAAATGGATAAATTTCTGGACAGATACAAGCTACCAAAATTGAACTATGAAGAAATAAAAAATCTTAACAAACCAATAATGAGTAACAAGATTGAAGCCGTAATAAAGGTCTCCCATCAAACAAAAGCCAGGATCTGATGGCTTCACTGCTGAATTCCACCAAACATTTAAAGAAAACTGAATATCAAACTACCATGGCACACATTTACCTACGTAGCAAATCTGTGCATCCTGCACATCTACCCCTGAACTTAAAAATTAAAGAAAAAATAAAATAAATGATAATTTTTGCATATATTGGGTTAAATGAATATATATTAAAATTAATTTCACCTAAAAAAAATGAATACCAATTCTAGCAAAACTCTTCAAAAAATTGAAGAAGCGGGAATACTTCCAAACTCATTCTATGAGGCTCTGATACCAAAACCAGACAAGGACACACACATACACAAAAAATAAACTACTAGCCAATATCATTGATGAACATACATGTAAAAATCCTCAACAAGGTGTTAGCAAACCAAATTCAACAACATATTTAAAAGATCATTCATCATGATTATGTGGGATTCATCCCATTCAACATATGAAAATCAATAAACATAATATATCACATTAACAGCATCAAGAACAAAAACCATATGACCATTTTAATAGAAGCTGATAAAGCACTTGATAAAATTCAACATCCCTTTATGATAAAAACCATCAACAAATTGGGTATAGAAGGAACATACTTCAAAATAATAAGGGCCATACATGACAAAGCCACAGCCAACATCATAATGAATAGGGAAAACTTGAAAGCCTTTTCTCTAAGATCTGGAACAAGACAAGTATGCTCATTTTCACCACTTTTATTCAACATAATACTGGAAGTCCTGGCCAGAGCAATTGGGCAAGAGAAAGAAATAAAAGTCATCCAAATTGGAAAGGAAGAAGTCAGATTAACTCTTGTACACAGACAACATGATCTTATATTTAGACAAACCTAAAGACCCCACTAAAAAAAAAAAAAAAAATAGATCTGATAAATATGGTAGAGTTTTGACTTACAAAATCAACATACAAAAATCGGTAACATTTACATACACCAGTAGTGAACAATCTAAAAAGAAACCAAGAAAGCAATCACATTTACAAAGAATATTAAATACCTAGGAATCAATGTAACCAAAGTTGTGAAAAATCTATTCAAGGAAAACCATAAAACAATGATGAAAACACTGAAAGAAATTGAAGAGGACACAAAAAAAATTGAAGAATATTCCATGCTCATGGATTAGAGGAATTAATATTGTTAAAAATGACAATACCACCCAAAACAATTTACAAAGTCAATGCAATCCCTATCAAAATACCAATAACATTCTTCACAGACATAGAAAAAATCCAAAATTAATATGAAACCACAGAAAACTCCAAAAAGCCAAAGGAATCCTGAGCAAAAAGAACAAAGCTGGAGGCATCCTACTACCTGACTTCAAAATATACTACAAACCTGAAGTACCAAATCAGCATGGCCCTGGAATAAAACAGACACACAGATTAATGAAACAGAATAGAGGACCCAGATATATATCCATGCATTCACAGCAAACTCATTTTTTATAAAGGTGCTAAGAACATACAATGGGGAAATGTGCTAAGAAAATGGGATAACCATATTCAGAAGAATGAAACTATACCTTCATCCCCCTATCTCTCACCATATGCAAAAATCAAATCAAAATGGATTAAAGACTTTAAGACCTAAAACTGTGAAACTGCTAGAAGAAAACACCGGGGAAAGGCTCCAAGTCATTCGTCTGGGCAAAGAGTTTTTATGTAAGACTTCAAAAGCACAGGCAATAAAAGCAAAAATAGACTAACGAGATTACATCAAGTTAAAAGGTTCTGCACAGAAAAGAGAACAATCAAAAAAGTGAAGAGACAACATACAGAAAGGAAGAAAATATTTGCAAATTATCCATGTGACAATGTATCAATAACCAAAGTATATAAGAAACTCAAACTCAATAGCAAAAAAAAAAAAAAAATCTGATTTAAAAATGGCAAAAGATCTAAATACACGTTTCTCAAAAGAAGACAATCCACAGCCAACAGTTATATGAAAAAAACGTTCAACTCACTAATCATCAAAGAGATGCAAATCGAAACCTCAATGAGATATCATCTTACCCCAGTGAGAAAGGCTTTTATCAAAAAGACAGGGAAAAACAGATGCTGGCAAGGATGTGGAGAAAGGGGAACCCTAGTACAATGTTGGTAGGAATATAAACTAATATAGCCACTGTGGAAAATAGTATGGAACTTCCTCAAAGAAAGGAAATCAGTATATTGAAGAGTGTCTGCACTCTCATGTTTATTGCAGCACTATTCACAATGGCCAAAATATGAAATCAACCTAAGTGTCCATCAATGAGTGAAGGATAAAGAAAATGTGATATAGCCAGGTGCGGTGGCTAATGCCTGTTCTCCCAGCACTTTGGGAGGCCAAGGTGGGTGGATCACCTAAGGTCAGGAGTTCAAGACCACCCTGAACAACATGGCGAAACCCTGTCTCTACTAAAAATACAGAAATTAGCCGGGTGTTGTGGCGGGCACCTGTAATCCCAGCTACTGGGGAGGCTGAGGCAAGAGAATCACTTGAACCTAGGAGGTGAAGGTTGCAGTGAGCTGAGATCGTGCCACTGCACTCCAGCCTGGGCAACAGAGTGAGACTCTATCTCAAAAAAAACAAAAAAGAAAAAAAGAAAGTGTGATATATATACACAATGGAATATTATTCATTCATAAAAAAGAATGAAATCCTGTCATTTGCAACAACATGGGTGGAACTAGAGGTCATTATGTTAAGTGAAACAGGCAAAGCACAGAAAGATAAATATCCCACATTCTCACTCATATATGGGAGCTTAAAAAGTGGATCTCATGAAAGTAAAGAGATTGGTGGTTACCACAGGCCAGGAAGGGCAGTGGGGAGGAAGATATAAAAAGAGTTTGATTAATGGTTACAGAAATACAATTACATAGAAGAAATGGGACCTAGTGTTCAACAGATCAGTAGGGTGACTATAGTTAATATTACTTGATTGTACATTTCAAAATAGCTGAAGAAAATAATTTGAATGTTCCTAGCATAAAGAAAAGATAAATATTTAAGATAATGAATATCCCACTTACCCTTATTTGCTCACGTGAATGTATCAAATTATCACACGTATCCCAAAAATATGTACATCTATTAGGTAGCAATATAAATAAGTAAGCAGAGTGAATCACCGAATAACCTAAATGTGTCAAATATTGATGCATTCATCTCTTTTTCTATGATTCTTTAATAATGTTCTGCATGCAAAATAATTGAGAGTTTTAAGAGAGTTAAAGATTGTCAATGTCTGTCTCCTTTACTTTGATTATTTAGGATTTCTGTTTTAATTGAAAACTTTTCAGAGGAATCTATTCTCATGCCCTATACCAATGGCACTGAGACAAACAAAAACCATATACAATGGATTATACCAAATTCTAAGTTTTGTGGGTTTTTTTTGTTTTTTCTTTTTGAGATGGAGTCTCACTCTGGTACCAGGCTAGAGTACAGTGGCACAATCTCGGCTCACTGCAACCTCCGCCTCCTGGGTTCAAGCGATTCTCCTGCCTCAGCCTCCAGAGTAGCTGGGACTACAGATGGGCACTACCACACCCAGCTAATTTTTGTATTTGTAGAAAACATGGGGTTTCACCATGTTGGCAGGATGGTCTCAATCTGTTGACCTTGTGATCCGCCCGCCTCAGCCTCCCAAAGTGCTGAGATTACAGGTGTGAGCCACCGCACCTGGCCTGTAAGTTGTTTTTCATTTCAAATATTATATAACTTAGTATCTTAGAAGAAGTCATTATCTTTTGGAAGTTTTTCTTCTGAATATTAAAAGAGAACACCTAAGAGCTAGTCATTAACAGCAGTGACTACAACAAACAGGAACAGGCACTGATGCTACAAGTAGAAAGCGCTAAGCCACGTAGTGGAGTTCCAACGGGGAAGGCAATCCATCTCCACCAGACTTCATGAATCAAAGACTCCAATCTAATTGGACCAAAGCAGGACTTTTATTGACTTATCAGAACATTCTTTGTGATTCCTCATAGAAAGGAAACTTCTTTCTGATTGAAATTTTGGTATCATCTTCTTTCTGAATTTTTATTTTTTCAGAAAGAGCAAAAAGTTTAAAGGCTTCCTACTTGCTTGCCAAATAGCACAGCATGATAAATATGACAGCACCTAAATTACCATTAGCAGAGTCCCAGTAGCTCACGTCTGCTTGCGGACTTCCCTTTACAATCAATCAGGTGTATTGAAAAGGTCTTTGTGATGCAGAAGGGAACAAAAGTCATCTGTGTTTTTCAGTTTACTCTAATTTGTACACAAGATATAATTTGCCACACTGCAGGTCTCTCGCTCAAAGAGATTCAAAACAACAAAAGCAAAAATAATCACTGCTCTTCTGAGAGTGAGATAAGTGATAGAGAATCTAGCTGTGATCATCTGGGAATTATATTAAATCTAAACCATATGCAGGAGCAAAGACTTTCAGTGGAGGAAAATGCCTTTAAGTTTACCACTGTAACCCCTCATTTCATAGACAAAGAAATGAGGCCAGTGGCCTTGTGGTTAACATGGCTAATTGGAGACATAGGGTGATTTCATTTCCTCCTCAAACGAAACTAGACTATCAGTAAAGGGATATGAAAGGTATGAATCCTCCAAGCATATAAGAACAGGAAAGGAGACAATAGATGCGAGACCAGAGAGGGAAAAGTGGCTGTCACATACTTAGCAGACAGAAATCTGGAAACTGCCTCCAGAAGGAAAAGCCACTGGCAAGAAAGTCTGCTTGTACCTCTGAACTTCAGAAAGACATAGGAATTGGCGATACCAGGTATGTTTGAAGGGGTGACAGGTGGGGATGAAGACCTAGAAGACTGATTAAAAGTCAGCCTGAGGAGCTGGGAAGTCCCCTAGGTCCCCTTCGCAATTCAACTCAGCAAGGAGATTGTTCATTCTCCACTTTGGCAGAAGGTTGGAAACAGTGAACCAGAGAAGCTTCCACACTAAGGCAATGGAGGGAGGCGTGAGGCACGGCAGGAGAACTGGACTGAATTAGTAATGATGACAATGATTACAGTAAAAACATGTAATTTATTGAGCTCTCATGACATTTCACATTGTAAGTAGTTTATATGTATAAATTCATTTAATCTTAACAACAGTGCTACAACGTGGGTACCATTAGTATCCTAATGAGGAAGGAAACAAGTTCCACAGCCAGTCACAAGTAACGCAGCACAACGCTGGAACCAGCCAGCCTGATTTTAGTCTGATTGTTAACAACGGACCCTTATGCCTTATGGTTTCCAGAAAGCCGTCATTCAGTTGCACCAATCCAAAGCAGTCAATTAGATTATCCATTTTTAGAGAAGTTAGGAAACCACCGAGGAAAGATCTATAGGCCCCTGCCTGACCAAAGCCACCAGTCAGCCAGACCCACCAAGCACCCAGAGCTTTTACTCAACACTGTAGAACCTTACCATTAAATATGAACAGACAGCCAAGGAAACAATAAGTTTGAAGAAAGTCTCTAATGTGAAAAAGAAGAACCTAAGCAAATGGGGAAAAGGAAGGTCAGAGAAAACAGAAACAATGAATGTGGAGAAGAAAAAACAAAATGAAACTAGTATATCCTCAGAGAAATAAGATATCGTATCCAAGAAACAAGTGCAGAGTGCTATTTTAAAATGAGTAAGTATACATGTAATGAGAAAAATATTTTAATTTAAAAAAAACAGAAATTTAAAACTCTAATAAGAGAATTAGCAGTTAAAGTTGAAGAAATTAGAAAATAAAAAGATAGATGATAGAAAAGATAAGAAAATTATATAATCTATCTAGGATCCCAACATCTTATTACTAAAAGTCCCATACAGAAAAAGGAGGGAAAGAAATTATCAAAGAAATAACACATGAGGCTGGGCACTGTGGCTCATGCCTGTAATCCCAGCACTTTGGGAGGATCCAGGAGTTCGAGACCAGCCTAGGCAACATAGTAAGACTTGGTCTCTAAAAAAAAAGTAAATAAATAAAAAAATAAATAAATTAGCTAGGCATGGTGGTATGTAACTGTAGTCCCAGCTATTCCAGAGGCTAAGGAGGGAGGATTGCATAAGCTTGAGAGGTCGAGGCTGCAGTAAGTCATGATTCTGCCACTACCCTCCATCCTGGGTGACAAAAAGAGACCCTGTCTCAAAAAAAAAATTAACAAATAAATAAAATAATAATAATACTTTAAATTGCATAGAACTGAAAAAAATGAAAAGGCCTATTCAGTGTCCAGCACAGAATGACAAAAACAACTCCAGTGTATATTATTATAAAATTTCAGAATATCAGGGATAAAGAGAAGATACAAACACTTCAGAGAGAAAAAGAAAAAATGTACAAAGGATTTAAAATCAGAATGACATTGGACTTCTCAAGAGGAACTCTAGAAGTTGGCAGACCAGAGAGAAATATCTTTAAAATTCTGGAGAAAAACTATTTCCAAGCTAACTCTTGCTATTTATTTCTGCAACTTCTGCTCTGCCCGGCTCTGCCCTGCCAAATCTAACTTGTACTGAGCTTCAAATCAGGACGAAATTAAGCCAATTCCTGGGGTGGGGGGGATCCATGAACTGCCCACCCTGACTTAGTTAGGATGGCAGCTCCAGCCAAGCCCCTAATCCCACCACCGCCACTTGTCACCATCCCAGGGAATCTAACCTATGTAACTTTTCAGTGGCATCCTCTCTGGGGATTTTCATAGTCTGTTGCAGGCTATTCCACATTCTTTTGTTTTGTTTTGTTTGTTTTGTTTTGTTTTGTGACAGTCTTGTTCTGTTGCCCAGGCTGGAGTGCGGTGGTGTGATCTTGGCTCATTGCAACCTCTGCCTCCCGGGTTCAAGCGATTCTCATGCCTCAGCCTCCCAGAGTAGCTGGGATTACAGGCGCGCACCACCATACCTGGCTAATTGTTGTATTTTTAGTAGAGATGGGGTTTCACCACGTTAGCCAGGCTGGTCTCGAACTCCTGGGCTCAAGTGATCTGCCCCTTGGCCTCCCAAAGTGCTGGAATTACAGGCATGAGCCACTGTGCCCAGCCTATTCCACCTTTATGATAAGTTTCTAAAAACTGGTCTTTTGGAACTAGTAAATTAATTCCTGTATTTGTATTCTATTGCTGCCTTAACCAATTACCATAAACTTAATTGGTATATAACAACCCAAATGTATTATCTCACTATTCTGTATACAGAAGTCCAGGTTGACTAGACTGTTTTTTTGGCTATGCATCTCCTAAGGCTGAAGTCAAGTTGTCAGCCAACTGGAGCGCTTATCTAGAGGCTCTGGAGAAAAATCTGCTTTCAAGCCTGTGCACATTGTTGGTAGAATTTGGTTCCTGGCAGATGTAGGGCTGATGTTCCTGCTTCCTTACTGTCAGCCAGGAATCCCTCTCAGCTCCTTGAGGTCCCTCTCCATCCTGCATACATAGCCCCCTACTTCTTATGGCTGGCAACAACACATCAACTCCTTCTCACACTTTGAACGTCAGTACTTCTGCTGCCGCACCTCCTCTGCTTCCAGCCAGAGAAAGTTATCTGTTTCTGAGGGCTTATGTGATTAGGTTGTGCCCAACCAGATAATCCAGGATGATCTCTCTATTTTAAGATCTGTAACCTTAAATAAATCTGTAAAGTTCCTTTTGTCATGTTACATAACATAGTCACAGATTCCAGTATGAGACATCTTGGAGATACCATTCTGTCTACCACAATTTCCAAAGAAAAACCCAATTTCTTATAGCAACAGATAAATCTAACCAGTCCCTGGCCCCTTACGTTAGAATAGAAACATTTACACTTTTATATTTTTTGATAAGAACAGCCATTAGTAATACAACAAAATTTTCTGAGTGCCTACAATGTGGCCAACACTGTCTAGGCTTTGGGAATTCAAACATGAATAAGAAACAAAGTCCACTCTTAAGATACTCACACTTCTCAAAAGAAGACATTTATGCAGCCAAAAAACACATGAAGAAATGCTCATCATCACTGGCCATCAGAGAAATGCAAATCAAAACCACTATGAGATATCATCTCACACCAGTTAGAATGGCAATCATTAAAAAGTCAGGAAACAACAGGTGCTGGAGAGGATGTGGAGAAATAGGAACACTTTTACACTGTTGGTGGGACTGTAAACTAGTTCAACCATTGTGGAAGTCAGTGTGGCGATTCCTCAGGGATCTAGAACTAGAAATACCATTTGACCCAGCCATCCCATTACTGGGTATATACCCAAATGAGTATAAATCATGCTGCTATAAAGACACATGCACACGTATGTTTATTGCGGCACTATTCACAATAGCAAAGACTTGGAACCAACCCAAATGTCCAACAATGATAGACTGGATTAAGAAAATGTGGCACATATACACCATGGAATACTATGCAGCCATAAAAAATGATGAGTTCATATCCTTTGTAGGGACATGGATGAAATTGGAAACCATCATTCTCAGTAAACTATCGCAAGAACAAAAAACCAAACACCGCATATTCTCACTCATAGGTGGGAATTGAACAATGAGATCACATGGACACAGGAAGGGGAATATCACACTCTGGGGACTGTGGTGGGATCGGGGGAGGGGGGAGGGATAGCATTGGGAGATATACCTAATGCTAGATGACACATTAGTGGGTGCAGCGCACCAGCATGGCACATGTATACATATGTAACTAACCTGCACAATGTGCACATGTACCCTAAAACTTAGAGTATAATAAAAAAAAAAAAAAAGATACTCACAATCTACCAAAGAGACAGAAAAATAAACATAAGATATGTTGAAAATGTAACTGAAGATAAACTCAAAAATTTTTTTAAAGCACAGTAGTATGGACCAATCCAGCCTTGGGCATGGGGCAAGTTTCTTAAAGGAGATAACACTGAATTGAATGTTCAAGGAAATCAGAAAGAACTAAGGGGCTGGGAAGAGGGAGAAGAGAGAAAAAGCCAGAAAAATATAAATATTTACATATACGTAAACACACATATTTTAAAATACAAAATATACAACTGAAAGCAGCAATTCTTCTCTTAAAAACAAACGTTGGCCGGGCACGGTGGCTCACGCCTGTAATCCCAGCACTTCAGGAGGCCGAGACGGGCAGATCAAGAGGTCAGGAGATCGAGACCATCCTGGCTAATACAGTGAAACCCCGTCTCTACCAAAAATACAAAAAATTAGCCGGGTGTGGTGGCCGGCACCTGTAGTCCCAACTACTCTGGAGGCTGAGGCAGGAGAATGGCGTGAACCTGGGAGGCGTTGTAGGATTTTCTGGACAGGACAGAGTTCCTAGAGAATGGTATGAATATTAAAGAAAAGTGTAACTTCTCTAATAATTTGACAGCATGTTGTATTCACACATGCTTCGAACATTTTCTAGATTCTTGCGTACATGCCATGTTATATTTCATCAGCCCTGTGAGATTAGAACAGCAGATATTGTTATTTCCATTTTATGGGTGTGAAATATAGAGTTCAGGGGAATTAGGGGTTTTATCGGAGATGACCCACTTGTCACCTGATGGAGCTCAGCCAGAAACCAGGCCTTCCAGACTCCGTTAGAAAGTCCAGTACTTATTTCATTGTAGTGTCTAAGTTCTGTCCAAATTTATTAAGGTCATTGCTTCATTTTTAAATGCATGTGATATAATTATGGATTTATGAAATCACAGAAAAGAGACCAATTGATGCTTACTTTTTGCCTTTGAGCTTATTGCACAAAGAGGAAGCAAAATTATATTCTCACTCAGACATTACTGCTTTGTTGATTTTCATGTTTCCCAAAAATAAATAATTTTTGTTGTTTTACACTATCATTAAAGAAAGAGAAGATCTGATCTGTGGAAGCATCGTGACTGTCGCAGGGAAGCCTCCTAGAGGAACATGTGGGCTATTGATATTCTCTCCTCAAGCCGGAAGCTGTCTCCAGAGATCCATGAGAAACACGGAATCACAACAAAGACTGGAAAACAAATTGATAGAATCAGAGATGGCTGCAGACCCGTGAATAGCTTTTCATGCTGTCGCTGTTTCAGTTTAGATTCAGACTTTAGTTTTGCAAATTGATGGGGGAAAAAAATCTAGTTTTATCTCAGCATTTTACTTTCCAGTTAAAGACCAAAGTGTAGGCTTCTACATTCAAAATGGTTCCTTTTTGTTGCTTTGTTAAAAAAATCACAAAGCGCCTTTAATTTTTTCCCCCGAAAGAGGCCCATATATTACATTGCAATATTGGGAGCAAGCTCAAAAAAGAATATGACTTTCTTTGTACAGAGGTTTTAATATTTTCATAAAGATCCTCTCTTCAACTCCTCAAGCATTTGCCTTTCATTTTGTTTTATTGAATTAGGCTGCAAAGCACTCGAGCGTGAAGCTCTTTGTCATCTCTAACCAGGCTTACATTGATTCCACGTATCCGTGTGCCTAGTCGGGGTTTATTAATCTATACATCTATTCCACTGAAAAAGAGAATTCTCTAACTTATTATGTAAAAGGATAAACCACCTCCACAACCCATTTGCATGCAGGTATGCTTAAAAGTAGATTTGTTTCCTCAGACTGAGAGCTGGCTTCTTTAACAGCATTAAACCAAGGGAAAAATGAAATTATATTATGATTTCTCATGGTGGATTATAGTACAACCATGACAAAAGCAGGCCAATAATTCCTTTTCTATTTCTTTAAATATAAACACATTGTAATATAAAGAGCTATAGACCAATATAAGCGAGACTCTGCATGCACATACCCTCAAAAATGCAAATCACACTGTTAATTCACCACCTGTTACTCATTCGGGTCAGAGTGCCCCCAGCCAAAGCAGAGGATTTGCTGAGGCAGCCAATGGCTTTATCCAAGTGGCCAAACAACTTGTTTTCCTCCTAAATATGACTCCCCCCAAACAATGAAGAGTGAAATGTATAAAATGGGCAGCAAAATAATCAAGAATTTCAGAGTCAGAAGATCGTGGCTGTTGTTTGTAACATGTTGTCAGCTTAACTTCTGTTCAATGTTTTTATATTTGAAGCAGGATAACTAAATAATATGTGCTGATGGCCCTTCCCTTAGTCACAGAAAGTTTTTAGGTATTTCTTAAGCTCCTCCTTCACCTGATTTTGATTCAGAGGCAAATTCTCTACTACAAAGGACAGGTATCTGATTCATCCATTCTATAGATATGTGTTTAAATGAACTAAATGTTTGTGATTCCCCAAAATTTTTATGTTGTAATCCTAATCCCCAATGTCAAGGTATCAGAGATGGGGCCTGTGGAGGTCACTTGGTCATGAGGGTGGAGCCCTCATAAATAGGACTAGTGCACTTACAAAAGGGATTCCAGAGAGCTAGCTTGCCATCTTTCCAATGTGTGAGAATATAATGAGAAGACAGCCATCTCTGAACGAGGAAGTGGCCCTCAGCAGACACCAAATCTTCCAGCACCGTGACCTTGAACTTCCCAACTCCCAGAACTGCAAGAAATAAAGGTCTGTTGTTTAAGCAACCCAGTCTATGATGACTTCTTACAGCAGCCTGAATTGATGAAGACGTTTATTGAATGCCTCCTCTGTGCCAGGTCCTAGTCTGGGTGCTCAGAGTATGGTGATGAACAAGCCAGATGAGATCCCTGTTGCCATGGCAGATGGACTGCAAACACGTAAATGACTTAGAAAACTTTAAACACAGTAAGTTCTATGAAGAAAATTCACCATTACAATGTGAAGACAATGGCTGATGGAGCAACATTACATGGGGTAGTCAGCAAAGATCTAAACTGAGACCTGAATGACAAGAGTCAATCAAAGGGGGGAAGTTGTCTAGGCAAGACAACAGCAACAGCCTTAATGGTGTCTTCACTGCTTGCATATGTCGTGTATATGAACATTCTTTTGTGCCTCCTTCCCTGCAGAACACATTTCTCAGATTCTTCTGAATGTGTACATTGGTATTCCACCTCTCTATGGCATCTTCATCTCTAACTCTTCCTTCATCCTTCCCAACACGAGGAAATGCCTTCCCACAAATACTATTTTGAACCCTTTTCTTATCCTGTTATCAGTCCTTCTCTAGGTTGTTTTAATCTAACATTGAAATATATATTGGTTAAAACCAAGAATTTTTTTATTACTTGAATTTTTCAAAAAATAAACAAGCTTCAGTAACAACCATGTATTCCCGTCCCACAGTCACAAACTGGATAACTTGATTTTTTTGCCCTTTACCCCCAGCATGTGTAAATGAGGGATTGCTTCACCTACCCTATGTAGCTACCATTTCTCCACCTCAAAGATACAAAACTGTAGGCCTCTAATCATAGAAAATCTTGTGAATCAGTCTCTTCTCACACTGCTATAAAGAACTGCCTGAGACTGGGTAATTTAGAAAGGAAAGAGGTTTAATTGACTCATAGTTTTGCATGGCTGGGAAGGCCTCAGGAAACTTATAATCATGGCAGAAGCAAAGGGGAAGCAGGGCACCTTCTTCACAAGGCCGCAGGAGGGAGAATGAACTCAGGAGGAACTACCAAACACATAAAACCAACAGATCTCGTGAGAACTAACTCACTGTCATGAGAACAACATGGGGGAAACTGCCCCCATGATTCAATTACCTCCACCTGGTCTCTGCCTTCATATGTGGGGATTATGGGGATTATGGGGACTATAATTCAAGATGAGATTTTAGGTGGTGACACAGCCAAACTATATCACCTTGTTTACATTTTACACATAACTAAAATTTTCCTGCTTTTTGCAAATGCGTTCCATCTCTCAGTTTGATTTCTTTAATTGGCCCCATATCTTAAAGGGGCTCTGTTCAACATTTGGTATTTGATAGATCCCATGGGTCTTTTTTGCTGACAATGATGCTGCCAGCTCCAAGGCTTTTTATAGACAGATGCATATGTGTCCCTAATTGATTTGTTTCTTAATGGGAATTCGATGAGAAAAGTTCTCAGATATTCTAAAACATTAATCATAAAATAAGTCCCTGTCCCAGAATTGTGCTCAAAACCTTAAGTCATTTTAAGATGTGTTGGCTGGGGTGTGAATTTTGTCCATCCTTATATTTGTTGAATATAAAAATCAATAACACCACTACTCTGCACATTTATCTAATGTAATAATCAATATCAATACCTTTCCTGATATTTACTTAATATAATAATCAATAACAATACTGTTTGTTTATTTGATGCCATTGACCAGGGTAGAAGACCAAAGGTATGTGCCTTAACTACCCTATGTACCTTCACACTGGGCCATCTACTGCTAACATCTCTTCTTTGTCCTACTTCCCACTCTCCAGACCTGAGCAGAACATCATCCTACTTCTCTTTGCTCTGGAAGGTGATGGTCAGTATATTGACATTTTGGAGGAGGCAGCCAGCATTGATGGAACCTCTGTCTACATTATCCTAGGTACTGTGAGGGAAACAAATATAATATAATTCACCTCTATATTTGTTAGAGTAACACTAGCTACTACCCTGAGAAGCCCCAAGACCCTGGTGGCTTAATACATGGTAAGTTGGTAAGTTGGTTGCTTATCCTCTAACAGTATAATGTAATTATTCCTGGTTGGTGGAATATTTTCATATAATACTTCAGAGACCTAAGCCCCTTCCATCTTGCAGATTTGCCCTTGCCTAAATCCCTCAAACCTCTACATTCAGCCAGCATATGGGAAAAGAACATAGAGGACCATGTGTAGGATATTTTAATGTCAGACTTGGAAGTAGTGTTCATCACTTCTGCTTATATTGCTTCAGTTAGAACTCAGTCTCATGGTCACATCTAACTGCAAGGCAAAGCATTCTGAGGACATGGTCTAACTATACTCCCAAAAAGAGGAATGAATTTGAACAGTTAGTCAGTCTCTGCCACTATCCCATCCTTTAGTTGCTTATAATTCAAAGAGGAAGACAAGATGAAGGATTGTACACATAATAAGTGAGGGATCACTAGAGGCAGAATTAGTCAGTGAAAACTTTCTAAGGAGAGACTTTTAAAATGGGTAGAATAAGGAGATAAACATAAAGAGTCATCCCATGAAGTAAAACAATGCGGTATGAGCAAAATTATAGGTAGAAATAGGCAAACATTGGCAGGGGAATGTGAAGAGGTCATTTTGACAGGTGCACAGAGTCAATGCCAGGAAGCAGAGAGCAACGTACCTGGCTAAGGAGAATAGGATGAAACTACCCCAACTAAGACCACTGACTCCTCCACCTCGAACCTGTGTTTGCATTGCACTAGAATTCTGCTGGTCCACTCAAAGGTACTTTACCACCTTTTTCTAAGTAATCGCTAAATCTCAGCTGACATTTCAAGTCTGAGTGGAAAATGTAAGCATTACCCAGAGAATGTCCCTCACTAATTTTGAATTTTTCAAAGAACAAATGAAAAGTAAGTGACAGATTATAAGAAACTGGTATAACCTAAATAACCATTACATTTGTGAATCAAACCACAAGTCTTCTTGATACAATGAAGCTAATAAGTCACTGACAACCACATGCTCCAGTCAAAGATATATATAGGAGTAGATAATTAAATGTCTTGGCCAGGGACATGGAGTTACAGCAAAATCAAAGTAGAAATAAGATGCAATAGTTCTTTCCTTGGTTCAACCTCTAAATACCTAAAGAATTAGGAGGACCACAGCTACAATCCAATCCACCCAACAAATTCAGAAGTTCCTAAAGGTTAATTCAAATGTGGTCCCAAGGAAAGTCCTTGTAGGTGCGTATTTCTGGACCTTCTTATAAGGACTCTTGTTGCCATGGGAACATACCTCTCCCCAATCTGTACTGATGTTCCAATGTGCTCAAATACTCACCTTATTGAAATGAGAACTACATCAACTCCAATATATTTCATACACAAATTAGGACTGTCCTGTCCCCCTGTAGAAATTTTAGGACAAATCCCTTTCAGGGATTTTGAATAATTTTGAAAATCCAAAAAAAGCTATGGCTCCTGTCACTCCCTCAACCCCCTAGGTAAATACACATAAGCATACAGAAGGTAATTCAATTATATGTAAGGGAAGCATTCCTGAGAACCTATTATAACTTAAAATCCCTATTTTTCAGCACCAATTTCCCTTAGGAACACCATAGACTCCTGTGAGGCAGCACAACACTCTACAAAGACTATCTGCTTCCTGTAACAACTCAAATTTCCCAATTTTGCAGATAAGGAAAATGATGCATAGAGAGTTTAAGCAACTTCTTACCATCACCCACCTCAAGGAACTGACAGAGTAGACCTGGAAGTCATGCAGTCTATCTCCAAAGACCTTGGACATACATATAACCAAAGTGAGATGCTGCCCCCACTCCCATCCCTCTTCTAGTAATATATCCTTTCTACCAAAAAAAAAAAAAAAAACCGAAAAGGAAAAGAACCTATTCTATCTTACTTCCAAAAACTTAAGAGTGGGACCAAATACTGTGCCTCCTCTCTCCCAAACTCAATCCAGGCTACTTATTTTTATTCTTGTGCTAATTATTAAACCAACAACCTGGATATCCCATTATTTCTTCATTTTTAACCTCCTTGAGTTTCAGGTCTTACATTCAAGACAAAGCCCTCCTGGACTTAGTATTGTTTTACACTCTCCAAACACTGTCACTGGAACAGCAGTATTCTTCTCTTAATTTGTTGCAACTCTGGAGTCCCTAAGGTTCGCTGCCAGACATCTCACTGATTGGAGAAAGAAAGACTATAATCAAAGCTCTTTCTGTCCAAGTTAATAAAGATCTTCTTTCATTTTTAATTTAAATTTCCTCTTCTTGGTTTTATATGAGGCAAAAGCTCAGGGTCATATCAAATTAAATTGAGAAACTTAAATGTTTTGATTGATTTTAGCTTATTTTCTGAAATCTTAAGCAATCCAATATCCCACACTTGATTAGGTCAACTGTCATGTAATTCAAAATAAACCTAAACATTATTTAACACTTTTTAAATTTAATCCAGAAGCATAGGTGTTAAAAGATATGTTTATCAAGAGTTCCCTTCCCTGACCTCTTCAGAGAGGCACTGTGGCTGATCAGAGCCTTTATATATTATTCCAGACTGTATATTTAGCTCCAACCACAAGAGGAGGCTTGAGATGATTTTCACCCACCATTATTTCTGTCAGCACTTCTCAATATACTCCAAATAAACACATATTCTAAGTAAAACACTGTTATTACTGTTAACCACAATTTAAAGACCATACCATATTTCCATCAGCCTATCTCCAAGTTATTCCAAATAAACATGCAAATATAGTAAAAGTACTATGTTTGCTATGCAAATTGCAGATACAACTTTAAGACAGATTCTTTAACAGCCTCTACCCACCTTCCAGATAGAAATTTTAAAGTTCTCATTAGTGCCAAACACTCTCAATAGCAACTCTATGGCTTATTTTCACATTTTTCTGAACTAAAAGGATTGAATGTGTGACCTGAATTCACATTATTTAAGTGGCATGAGAATGTTTGTAGCCAAGAAACTAACATTAAAACAGTTTCAGAGCCATGGAAAAACACAGAGCCCTAGCAAAGACTTAGGCAACAGTCCCTAATAGAGGTGCCTCTTCAACTCATGGCACAAACAAGCCTTCCCCAGGAGACAAAGCCAACTGACGATGAGCTCATAATCCAAAATTGTAAAACACACAGGGAAACCCAAAGCCCTGAGAAAGCAAGTGTCATAAAGGGGGAATTTATAGCTGGGAAAAATTAAGATAATTGAACAATCTAAAATGAAATCTTGAAAATAAGTACATTAATAATGTCCCACAAGATAAATAAAGTATTAACAAGACAAGACCAAGGTGCTTTAGAAAAAGAACAGGCAGACTTGAGAAAGAAAAATCTAAACAAAACAAAATTTTTAGAAATGAAGACTGCTATGTCCCCCCAAAATCCAATGTTGAAATCCCAACCTCCAAGGTGATAGTATTAGGAGGTAGAGCCTTTGGGAAGTGATTAGGTCATGAGGGCTCTGGACCCCATGAATGGGATTAGTTCCTTATAAAACAGATCTGAGAAAGCTCCCTTGCCCCTTCTGCCATGTGGGGACACAGCGAAAAGATAGCAGTCTTTGAACTAGGCATTGAGTGCTCACCAGTCACTAAATCTGCCTCCTTCTTGATCTTAGACATCTCAGTCTCCAGAAGTGTAAGAAATAAATTTCTGTTGTTTAGAAACCACCCAGTTTATGATATTGTTTTATAGCAGCTCAATCAGATTAAGACAAAAACCATGGTCATTTAAATAATCGATTGATGACTTAAACTATACACTAGACATAACAGAAAAGGAAATTAGTGATCTGAAAGGTAAAGAGGTAAGGCAATCACCAAAAATTTGGGGAAGGAAATAGTTAAGAAACACAAAGGATAGAATGAGAAGCTTTAGCATACATATAATAGGGTTTCGTAAAGAGAGATAATGTCTTTAGAGAGAGACAATATTCAAAGAGATGACGGTGAAATGTTTCCTGAAATGAATAAAGGCATAAATCATTAGATTTTAAAGGGCATAGTGAGTTCTTAGCAGAACTTTTTAAAAAACATGCATCATAGTGAAACTGTAGAGAAACAAAAGTAAAGACAATTTTTAAAACTACCTGGGAGAAATGACTGTTTACCTACAAATAAACTACAATCAGACTAACAGCAGACTTGTAATCAGCAGAAACACCTGTCAGAAGACAAAGCATAAACATTTTAAATGTGTTCAGTAAAAATAACTGTCAACCTAGAATTCTCTACCCTGTGAAACTAATAAGTGAGAGTAAAAAAAAAGACATTTTTAGGCATACAAAGAATAAGGAAGTTTGCTATTTATAGACATGCTCCCTGCCCTACCACACTAGGAAAGAACAACTAAAAACTGAATTTGAGCAAAAAGCAAAAAAGCAACAATGGAGTGGGATACAAGAAGTAATGGTGGGAAAAAAATCTATTTTTATTTGCAAATCTGAATAAATATAGGCTCCATAAAATAATAACCACAGTAACTAATTTTGAAAGGTAATCTAATAACACAGTAGAGCTAAAACATGAGAACAATATATAGAAGATGACATTTTGTTCAGAGAAAAATTAAAGCATTCTAAGTTTCTTGCCTTTTTTCAGGAAAACTGTCGGGGGGTAATAAGCCAAGTTGGGTTATAGATGGGGAAATGTATTTAAGATTTATTTTTTTCTAAAGCTTCTGACAATAAAATCATACTTTTCTCAAACAAGATTAATACCAACTGCTTGAAGGGCATTTTTCAAATAATATTCTTCCCATTGGAAGAGATTAGGATTTTTCAAGAAATTGAAAGAGAATTGCTTATGTCCAGAAATGAGGAAAGTTAACCTGTTTCCTCCTTACCTGTTTATGAGCCAGTTCCAACAGAATTAATTGTGCTATTCAGTTTCCAAGATTAATATTTGGTTTTATCAGTGACCCAAACTCTAAAATTCTGTATCAAAATAAAATAATCTCAGTATTTTCATGTACTTTACAAATTCAAAACATGTATATATATATTTGCCCTAAGAATTGCAAGTCCTAAAAGCCCTCAAGAATGGCATCTCTCATATTCACCTAAAAAATTTATCAAGTACTCCTTTCACTTTTCCTGGGGGAAAATCTACAGAAATAATAATTATTGATTGTTATTTATGAATTAAATAATTCATCAGAATCAGCACTGCCCTAACACCAATGAAGTCTACTCTCACCTGAGAAAAATATGTGCATCTGTAAAATGATATTCTAGGGGCTTATTGCATTAACTACCACTGCCTCAAAGAATCATTTGTATGTAAACACAAGTTACTAAAAATTTAATTTTGCTTTTTCTTTTGGTGCTTTTGAGAGACTAAATTGCAACTCACAAAGACAGTTATTAAGGTCCGAATAAAAAAGGTTTAGATTAAAAATATCATGTTCACATTCAAGAATCATTGTAATCGGTCCATTAAACAGCAGCATTGCAGTGGAGCCTATATTTTTGTTTGCTTCATTACTTAAAACTAGATAGCAGTGATTAGCTATGTTACAGTGGTTAAAGAGTTTATTGTTTGCTGATGTTGAAAGTTAGCTTTGTATCAATTTGTTGAAAATTTATTCTATTTATTTAATATTGATTAACTGATAGATGATTGTTTGAATTCGTTGTATTTATATCAAGTTTTTAGAAAGGAAAGTTAGAAATATTACAATGAGGAGGGTGATTGTATTAGTCAAGATAGAGTGGGTTATGAGCAAGAACAAATAATCTGAACCTCTTGACAACAAGGGTTTTTCTCTTCCTTTTAGAAGTATCAATTGCTGGTTGGCTGTGGATCTGCTGCCCATCAGCTTCACTCTAAGATCTAGAATGATGCAACAACCTCTAACTCAGACAAAACAGGTTTCCAGAGCAGGGTGGGAAAAAAGCATATGGCAAACCATGAGATGGCTCTACAAGCTTATGCTGGAAGTGCCACATATCACCTCTGTTCTTATTTTATTGGCCAAAGCAAGTCACCAGGACAAGCCTAAGCTCAACAGGAAAGAAATGTATCATCCTCCCACAGGGAGGGAATCACAAGGAGAAGCATGAAAATATATGGTACACAGAACACACCATAGTGAGCACGCCAACATTTTTCACAAAAATTATGAAGGAATCACTGCAATACAACACTTATTTTCCAGGGCAAAATTTGTCCTGTTTCTTCGTTGAAGAGAAAAAGTGATTATCATTTTAAAAAAAATTGTTCAGATAAGTCAAACTTATTGAGTTGAAACATTAGACAATGTGACAAAAAATGAAAAATGTTATCCTCTACTAAAAAGTAAATTTTTGGTTCAAGATTACAAAGACTCAATTGTCCCCTGACTTCCTACTCAATAAGGAATGAGAGAAAATAGAATGTCCACTGTAACAGAAGACTTTAAAGATATGATCATTTATGAAAAAGAAATTTTCCAGAGAAATCTTCTAAGGGCATTTCAGCAAAAGAAGTATGTATTTTAATTTCATTTTGCATACGCAATGGAGAATCGGCTTAAGAGGCAGAGGTTAAAAAAGAGAAGTTTAAACTAGTTTTGACTATTTAGCACTGCCAAAATCAATTGCCATCTCAGACATCCTTATGATTAGTACTTCAAAATCTTGGAAGAGTTTAGAAAACTAAAAGTATTCATCTTAAGTCTCAAAAATATTATCATGTTGTGGGCAATGGTAAGAAACTCCCTAATTCTAGAACAAATTATCAATATTTAAGCCTGATCTCTTTTGTTTTTATTTGAGGAAATAAATTTTATCACAGCAGTTACTTGGGACAATTAGAGCAGGGTCACACATTAGAAGCCATATCTTTGGTTTGTTTAAATGCCACTAGTGCCTTCCTTACATAGCTTTAGGAAGTTGATGACTATTGAGACCCTGTCTATTTTATGACTATATAATAAATTCAAAATTAAATCAATGTGAGATTCCTAATGTTCAGACTTAGAAAACTATATAGAAACTTTTAGCACTGTAATCACAATAAACATCAGGAACAAAAATAAGTTCAAAAGTGTAACTCACCCACAAGCTACACATTTCAACATTTAACATTCAACTCAGCATTAAATGAACTTCAGTGCTCATTCATTCAATAAACATTGGTTGAATCCCATTAATAAGCAATTCTGTTTTATTTTTCTAGGAAATTTAACTTCAGCCACATCAGCTTTTCCCAGAGCACATTTTGTAAACTGGTAGTCCCATAGGATTTAATTGATGGTTATATGACAAATAGATAATCAAATAAGTTTGGGAAACACTGAATTAAACAAAGTAAGTTCATTTATTGAAAAGTTCTCAAAGCTATTAAAAAACCAATGAGCATCAAGAATCTCCAGGACAGGGCTGCAGCATGCAGTACTTCCAAAACTTATTTGACCACTGAATCCCCTTTTTTTTTTTTTTTTTGAGAACACCAAATAAGATTGTTGTTCCATGGAATACACTTTGAAAAGTGCTGAATTCTACTCTTCTAGATAATGCTTACATTAGGTAATTCTTGTAAATATTATCTAGAGTTGACACTGTCCTTACATTTGTTCAAAATTATTAAATCACTTCATTTAAACAGAAAATGACTAGTTAGACATTAAAGACCATCACATAGCTGATTGAACCATCATCCCCTTGAGACCAAATTTAAAGAACTACTTGACAATGTGCTCAAATAGTCCATTATCAGGTATTTATAAACAGAGGGGAAAGCAAGAAGAAAAAATTGATTGATGAATGTTTTCATTACCCATATTGTATCATATAGATGCAGGCAATGCTAACCCAATCTCAGGGGTTCCCACAATGATACTGAAACAATATCTATAAATGACAAGAAGTTGCAGTTTCCCCAGAAAACCAATTCAGCTAGAGCAGGAGTTGCTCACGTTTTGTGAGAAGGAGCCAATCTTGATCTCCCTTCAAGGCTCTAAGGAGTCAACAGGATTGAGACTCTGACAGGGAAGAATACAAAATGAGCTCAGCAGCAGCAGCCCTCTCCACTCAGTGGGAGAGAAGGAAGAGATGTCAGCCGACTTATCTTCCTTACCAGCAGGGAGCACAATACAAAAGAAAAGGTGATAGCACAGTGTCTCTAGTTAATGACGGTGTGAAATTATCAAGGCCTGCTGGCCACCAAACCAGAATACCTTCTCAATGAAGCCTACCCTGACCACCCCATTAATACGTCAACCTGCCCTTTCCCAGCTCAGGGAACTCCTACCTACCTTGTCTCACATTTTTCTACAACTCAGGTTACAACCTAACACATTGTATAATTTGCATATTTATCATGCCTAATGTTTATTGTCAGTTTCCCCCACAATTTAAGCTATATGATGGCTGCATAAATATTCATTGAATTAATGAAGAAAAATAAATGCTCAAAACTTTGGTCCCAGGAAAGTTTCACTTACATGCTTTCTGAAGATGTCCATCCCGACAGTGCCTGCCTCTGCCTGCACATTTCCCTAAGAGAGAAAAGAAGAATGGAGGAGACAGCTGAGACTTCTGCTCCTCCTCCACCACCACCACCTCCCCCCAGCCCTGACCCACTTCCATGTGCTGAAGCCATTGTCTGCTATTACCCTTACCGTTCCACTATTTACCCCCTTAATCAAAAAACATTAAAAGGACGAGGAGGACAGAAGTCCCTCTTCTGACAGTGTTCTCTAATCACCTGTGAAGTAGAACACAGTTGCAGCCTAACTCTGTTCAGTCCTCACTGGACACCCCGCATCTATACCTCCCTTCGGTCTATTCTCCACACATCAGCCAGAGTGGTCCTCTGAAACATAAGTCAGATCACATCACTTCTCAGGTCAAATGGCCCCTATTTCTCTCAAAGCAAAAACCAAAGTCTTCACAGTTGTCTACAAGACCCTATATAATCTGGCCTTCTGTTCCCTCTCAAATCTCTTTTCCAGTTACTATCCACCCCCCTACCCTCACTCCACTCCAACCTCCTCACTGTCTGTCAAACATGCTAGTGTGCTCTCAGCCCAGGGCCTTTGCACCAGCTATTTGTTGGCCTCGAATGCTCTCTTCTCAGCAAATATCCACATGGCTCACACCATCACATCCTTCAAAGTTTTGCTCAGGTGCCACCTCATCAGAGAGGCCTTCCCTAATCTCCCTACTGAATACCACAACCTTGTCCCTGGCTGTCCCCACCATGTGCTCGCTGTATCTTACCCTGCTCCATCGTCTCCTTACTTATCACACATAATTTACTTACAGCACATAACTTAGTATGTTTGTTGCCTATCTTCCCCACTAAATTATTATTATTATTATCATCATTATTATTTAGAGACGGGGTCTTACTCTGTCAACCAGGCTGGAGTGCAGTGGTGCAATCATAGCTCACTGCAGCCTTGATCTCCTGGGCTTAAGCCATCCTCCTGCCTTCGGCTCCCAAGTGGCTAAGACTACAGTCACAAGCCTAACATTTAAAAAGAGAGAGAGAGAAAGAAACTTCACCTTCAGGAAAGCAGGGAATGTTTGTAATTTTTCTTCACTTTTTCATCCCTAAGGCCTGAAATATTATCTAGCACATAGTGAATGCTCAACAAATACTTGTTGAATGAATAAAGAGTGGTTAAAACAATGGATTTTGGTTACACAGTTCTGGATTTTTATCCCACCTGTACCGTAATCTTTGGCAAATTTTGAAAGTTCTCTGAACCCCGATTTCTTCATCTGTGAGATAAGGATAACAATACCCAATTCATAGAGTGCAATGCCTTGTATATCAAATAAATGGAGGCCATTATTATGCAATGTGGACCTTCTGGAAGCAGAATATGAGAGCAAATGTGCAGTTATACATGTTGGGGTGGATTTTTGTTATGTTGGGAGATAGAAAATGAAGACAGAATGTACTCAAGTTCCCATGCAGCTCTAAGTATGTACCTGTAAAATCAACATGGATTAAGGACAAAAATGGACACAATGTAACCAAAGTGATCTCCTACGTAGTTGATCTGATAAATAATGCAGGCAACAGTAATTAAAACAGCTGACCAATTTGATGGTTTCAAGATAAAAGAGTTGCTTTATGGACTTCATAAAATATGGTCAGTACACACTATAAGGTATTTTTCTTTTAAACACTTCAGAATCAATACCTCTATAGTATCTCAAGGTTATTCAGGTTGTCTCCATTTCATGTATTCTAGAATGTCATTATTGACTTTGCACTTGACATTCTTCCCTGTGTCTGTTAGACTGGCCTTGGCAGCAAAGAAAGGCCATATGGTGCCCATCCATATGGATAGGCTGGCTGGATTTTAGAATCTTATTCCCTACTGATGTTCCTGTTGTGTGAACAGAATAACTTCTATTTAAGAGTAAAACATGTGGGATTCCAGCCTTGCATATTGTATCAGTTAGAAAATGTGCTCAATTGTGAGGAGCAGAGACCTGAAAACAGGGCTTAAACACACTAGATGTGGTACAGGGGCTCTGCAACCTCATTGTAGACTTTCCATCCCTCTTCTCTGACATCTTTGAGTTGTGACTCCTTTCCTCAAGGCTGCCTCATACATATAAAGTGGCTACTAGAACTCCAAACGGCATTTTCTCATTCCTAGTAGGAAGAAGGGAAAACACAAGGAACAAAAGGAGCATGCCAGCTGAGTCATTGCCTATTTTTAAGGAGCATTACCAGAAGACACACCCAACAACTTATGTTTGCATCTCATTGGCTAGGATTTAGTCTTATGCACCTCTCATCTTCTAGGAATCCTGGGAAATCTAGTATATTTTAGGTAAGCAAACTACTTCTCCAATAAAATCAACATTCTATATAAGAAAAAAGGTGATAGTCAATATTGAGTAGGTATCTCTCAGTATCTTCTCCAGATAAATACTTAATTTCTGCAATAGAGGAATCAAAAAATTATGAGCTATTGTCGTAGCTCACTAATGATTTTCTAGTTACTTTTGCACAAACCTGGAAATTAAAATCTTTCTATTAATTCTCCAAGTGGTGATTTAGAGAAATTATTTTCTATTAAAGAAATCTTCTTTTTTAGGAAAAGAAGATTTGGTGTCTACACTGCTAGTACTCCAGTTCAGCTTTCGCTGACCATGACTCTATTTGGCTAACTGCACAGGTAATCTCAATTGTTCCTCACTAGGCTGGGTGCGGTGGCTCACGCCCATAATCCCAGCACTTTGGGAGGCTAAGGCGGGTGGATCACTTGAGGTCAGGAGTTTGAGACCAGCCTGGCCAACATGATGAAACCCATCTCTACTAAAAATACAAAAATTAGTTGGGCCTGGTGGCACATGCCTGTAATCCCAGCTACTCGGGAGGCTGAGGCATGAGAATCATTTGAACCCAGGAGGTGGAGGTTGCAGTGAGCAGAGATTGTGCCACTGCACTCCAGCCTGGATGACAGACCAAGACTCAGTCTAAAAAAATTTAAAAATTAAAAAAAAAAATCCTCATTGAGCTCTGTAGAAAGAAATACCTCTCAGAACTTCATCATTAGAATCATCACTGCTACAGCAATGCTCCACAATCAAAAGCCCCTTGTGTGACCCAGAAGCTTGCCTGCCTCTTACCCCTACACAATACATGGTATAGAATTCATATTAGGGGAGTCATATATGTTTTGCATGTAGAAAACTCTCTAAGAATACTTTAAGAACTCACTGATTCTTTCAGGTCACCAGGGAACGATTTTGGTAATTTCACCCTAGCTAACAACTTCTGTGAGTACCATTTCAAGGACTAATTTACTAAATGGTCCCTCTGTTGCCTGAAAGAGTTACAAAGTTTCACAAAGTGTCTGACTTACTCGCATGCAGTAGCCCATGTACTAAGAAGATCTGGCTTCAAAAACACATTATAGGATTCCTGTGGTTGCTAGTTATTTTCTAATACTACTTGAGGAATGGGAAAGTATGCAAGTCAACAACTTGTTCAAATGACCAAGTGCATAGTCACTTGAGACAAAGCAATGAAAAACACATTCATGCACACACACTCCCACATTTTTCCTCTCTTCCAAGTTCAATGCTTTCCTTTTGTTCTCTAAGCAAAATAGACCCCACACCCACACAGAGAAAGGTAAGCCTTCGATTTTTGGTCTGACTTTTTTTCCTCCTTCATGGAGATGGCTCTATGGGGCTTTCAACTTGTCAGATATAATCTATTCTGGCCACACAGTCTTGAGAGAACGACAGCCACAGAATCTGTGGTGTCAGATGAAAATGTTGTAGAATGCAAGTGCAAAGCATTGCAGAGGTGATGAACATGAGGTTCTCCCTCCCTGAGAAGGAATGAACAAGATCCGGACCTGGAAGAGCAGTTGCAAAAAATGACAGGGGCCTCTGTGGACAGAGTGTAGCCCAGAGCCTCAGCTGGCCAAGTGGACAATTCCCAAAGGCTGCAAGTCCTCACATCTCTCTGTCATTCCCACTGAGACATTTTGAAAAGAAGGTCAAATAGCCCTTCATCAGGATATGCTGATTCAGACAGACAACTAAGCCGAGGTGGCTTTGGTGAACACACTATGGGATGAAATGAGTTCCCCTGTGGTCTGCTGCCCTGTTGCTGTTAAACTGAAACTAGAGAAGCTCAGAGTTGCTAAGAGATTGTCACATTGCTGTGGGAAGAATTTACACAATTGGCGCCCTCAGGCAAGTAGTGCTGAATCTGTCAGTATTCAAGACTGTGTAATTTTTTCAGCTACTTCTTTATTCCAGTCTATGTGGAGCACAGCCTTTTCTCTGCACCTTCAGAGTGAGCATTTATAGCACTGCCAGTTCTGAGGAAAGACGAAGATTGGCTACCAGAAGTGTGGATTCACGGGCTGACCCCGGGGGCAAAACTGGGAAGAAGGCAAACTGTCAGCACTAGGACTGTGGACAGCTCCAAGAATAGAGAAGGGGAAAAAATCTGCAAGGTGAGCCAGGGCAAAGGTAGAAGTAAGGAACTCTCCCTAGATATTAGAAGTCATGACACAGGTAGGGTCTGAAACTTGCTGAGCAGTTCAACTGCTGAGTTTGCACTAGGAATAAAGATCAGGATTAAATAGCAGGGCGACACCAAGGTGTAACATCAATGTTGCTCAATTTGCCCTTCCCTTTCTCTGGTAATCAGAGAATCAATATCCATAGCCCCAGCTGAGGGAGCAGGGTGATCATGTGAGTTACATACCTTTGCCACAGATCATTGGATCAGAAGAACATCTGACTCAAATGCAACCAATTCATTAGCTGACTGGAGATGCATCTGATCCACTCTCTCGAGAATTTAATATAAAAGATATACTAATTGCAGCTACTCAGATAGTGCTGGACACTAGATCTCGAAAGCCACAGAGATTAAGCACCAGTCAACACCACAACAACTCAAAGTCACATGCAATCCAGGGTCATGAAGGAGCAGAAACTAAGAGCCTTCAAAAGAAGCTGGTGTGGGAAAGAACAAAGAAGATATGCAGAGAGTGGCAAAGATGAGACACCATGTGATCCAAGAGGGAAAGGAAAATGGGTAGATTACCTGTCTGACAGCTTTCAGGTTCTCAAGAGATCTTGTGGTTATTCTTTCAGTCGGGATCTCTGAGATCTCCTACATCTTTGTAATCTAACCAGGAAATCCTAATCCTGCAAGGTCCCCCACAGTCAGCATACATCTCATTGTTGTAATTGGCCAGTTGTTCCAGATTCTTTGGACTGCAAAGGTCAGGAGACACACTCTAGGGGAAACACTGGGAAGAAGACCAACTGTCAGCACTAGGACTGTGGATAGCTGCAAGAATAGAGAGGGAAAACATCTCCCCTAAGAACGAGTGAGTTATCATACAGATACTCATGAACTCGGTTCAAGGCCAGAGAAATGTCTGGGAACCAAGACAGGTTAAGAACAAGCTGCTCTTTATCTCCTTGTCTTGCTCAGAGCCTTCACAATCTCTCTCTGATAATGTCTCTGCCCCTCTCTGCTGCCTCTCTATACCAATTGGTTTATTCTTTCCCCCCATTCTGTGTAGCTTTCCTCTACTTCAAAGCTTCTGCTCTCTCATAGCTTTTACTTTTTCATAACTTCAGCCTGTTGTGACCCCCTCATAGCCCTACCTTACCTCATAGCTTCTCGTTATAGTTTCCTTCTACTTCAGATCCCACTGCTAACTGAATTTTCAAGTTCAGCTTCAAAAAAGGGAATATGATCAGCCCTGCTCATCATTTTGCACCAGGTCATGGGCTGCTGGCCAGTCTTTGATTTGACTATTCTTAGATCAACACTCACCCCTTATACAACCAGCTCCAGTGAGTAGGGCAGGTTCACATAGTACAAAACATAGCAATTTAGGACTATCCATTCAGAAGAGGTTATGAGCGTGGCAGACAATTTGACCAACACATTTGATATTCCAACCTCTCCTTATCACAAATATGCTTAAGATATTGTCCTCTGTTTTCAAAAAAATTATGTAATAAGGCAATCTATCCTGTAATATTAGCAATTATGTTTTAATTTTTTATCTTCTTCTTTTACTTTTTGGAAGTTTCCAAATTTTCCATAAGTAATATGTCCTAATTTTACAGATATATTCAGAAATATTACATTAACTATTAAGAAAACAGATATAGCATCATTTATACAACAAATGTATGGTGTGCAACAACCATGTACCATGCTAGATGCCATAAATACAGCAGTTAACAATGAAGGATCTCTTGTCATGGAACACAGGTGATCATATAATTTGTCAGCGAAATCAGGACACTTTTGAGAGTGAAAGCATTGCTATTAATAATCAGACCAAGATAAAACTAGGACTCTGCTGAGTAAACCTGGGCAGCTAGTGAATGTTCCCATTTACGTAGGCCAGCTAACATTTTAACATTTTGAGCAGAGGACTAGCAGATATAGAGCCTTAACTCTCCTCTCACAAATTAATTTCTAAAGTAAGGAAATTCTGAGAATATGCCAGGCAAGCATTTGGGGACAGGAAGTCCTTTAAATCTCAAGATCCTCATTCTGCACTCTGGAAAACATCCACAGTCCTAGCTCAACCAAGAAGGACAAGGTAAGGGAAGAGTTGGTAAGAAGGGGAGCACACATTGATCGATCATATACCATGTGCCAGCTATGGGGTTGGGTGCTCTCCATAAGTCATAGAAATTAATCTCATGACAACTCTGTATTGTAGATATTGTTATATACCCATTCTGCTGATGAAGAAAACAAGACTCAGAGTTTACTTAACCAAGGTAGCACATCTAACATCAGGACTAAAATTGGATTCCAGCTCTAGCTAACCCCACTATATCAAGCCACCTTTCAAAAGTTAAATTTGAGATCTTAAGACACTGAACCATTATAACCTCCAGTTTCCCCTAGCAAAAATGTGATTAGTTATGAGTTTGTCATAAGAAGTCAAGTTATAGTGGTCATTTTCTTCATATGATCAGCTTCTCAGCTTACCCAAAGCAGAAATGTAGAAAATGAGCTTAACTGGATGCTGCTTCTTGGAGCATTTCTCATGGTCCTTATGTAGGTGGTATCTGAATTTGCCATGTAACTTGAAAATTAGATTTTTGAAGGCTATTAAAAGAAAAATTCTGAAGAGTGTGGTTAGCCCAGGGGAAAACACCCAAGATGCTAAAAAGCATTTGCAACTAATTTCCTATCAATTGAAACAAAAGAGAGTAATTCTATTGATACCAGATCTGTTAATTAAAGAGATACGTCAAATCTGTTTTCACAAATACCGTCGTAACTCAAATCTCTATTCACTTTAATGGGATTTGGCCTGCACCAACTCTTTCAAAGCATGAAAGTGGAGTAAAGTAGATTTTGCTAGGATGGTTTTACTATCTTTGTTTTGGTTTTTCCAATAAGTATAGCCTGTATGTATTATGTACATATAGTCTATTTGTCAAAAAAAAAAAAGGTATTCTGATCAAACACAAGTGGGGAGAAAAAGTCTCTTGAAATAAAATCACCTGTGAGATGTTTTTCACCACCCTGTTAGCAAAATTCATTTGCAGACTAACAGTCAAAGAATGTCAAAAATGTAAAAACTGCATGGAAAAGCATATTGTCTCTGTGATTTGTTTTATCTCTGCTTCAGATCACAATCATACATTTTGGACAAAATGTCTTTGGAGAAGCCGCATTGAAGATATTGCAACTGGAAGACCCTTCTGAAATAGAAAATCTCTATTTATCCTAAGGTCTCTCTTGAAACAAAAGAGCTTCCTAGCAACATATTTTGGAAATGCTGAAATTAAAGTTCAGGCTTATGTCCTTATGTACTTAAAATATGAGAGATGAGAAGATAAAAGAATAGAGTGCTGAGGAATGAAACTTTCTTTTAAGGCGTGAATGTTTGGGCTCGGTACATAAATAGAAAGGGTAATTTCATTTAAAGAAAAAGAAAAATGAAATCCCTTTGTCTCACATAAGTAAATGATGTATCTGTTCCAGAACTTGCACAGCTCTTTACCTTTAGATCTCAAGCTGCAATTCAAACCAGTATTTTAAAATACTCAGGGTCTTTATTCTCCCCTTCAGTTTCTTCCATTAGCAGGGAAATGCAATCTTCTTTCATGTGGAGTAGCTGATAACAAAAAGTGGCTAGCACAAGAATGCCCCCACTGAATTCACAGTTGGCTTTGCAGAGCTGAATTACACAGAAATAAAGGCAACTACTTACTGTCTCACTGAATTATGGATTTTAGAAAACTGTTTAATAAGGAGGAAAACACTTAAGACAGCTTCTATTGAATTTGGCACACACAGAAAACTAACGAAACCAGAACTGATAACAGATTTTGTAGGGAAAGTTAAATTCTAATTTTATGATAGTGTAGAAGCCAAGATATCTTCACAAGGACAGATCCCACAATAACTTTTATGTTAGTAATCTTGGAGGTGTGTGAAATTATATTTTTAAGTGGTCAATCTTTCTTTACCTGCAACTTTAGATTAAAAACTTTTGATACTTCTCTGTCCTTTATTAGGCTGCCAGATTTATAGAAATAAGAAACCCTTCAAACTTTTGCCACTTCCTCTCCTTCAGTTGTTCAATAGTTCAGCAGACTGGATTATCGTCAGAATCAGATTGTAAATCCCTCACCAGATGGTAAACTTCTTAAGACTTTTGTCTTAAAATGTATTCATCTTTACGGAGCACTTAGTAAAGTTACAGGAACAAAGCAGGGTCTTAGAAAATGTTTTTTAATTGATTTGAATGTATACAACAGATTCAAAAACTCACAAGAATTTTTGTGTTTGTCATTTTTTAATTGTGCATTCATTTAGATTTGCTGATAGCTCACCAGTTATCAGCTACTCTGCTAAATGAATAGAATGAACCAGACACAGTCTTCACGCTGTGGCAGCTCTCAGTCTAATGTCAGGGAGGCAAGCAAGTGAACCAGACAGAACAATACTGTGCGATGAGCATCAAACATGTTGAAAGAACATGACAGAAGCATATGCTCATTCAAAGGAGGAGCCGGAGCTTCTAGTAAAAGGTAATATCTAAACTGAAACTGTAAGCACATCATGGAACAAAGAGGGGGAAGGAGGTTCTAGGCAAAGGGAAAAGCATACTGCCAGCGTCAAGACATAAGAGGAAAACCATGTATTGGGAAACTGCAAACAGTTCAGTGAGGGGGGAGTCTAGAGTGCTCTGTAGGCAGGGACGGGACTTTGGAGTGCTTAGGGTACCATGTTAACTCAGTCTTTACAGGCAACTTTGGAATACTAATAATGGTGGTACTTCCGTGTGCTTGTCCATTGCCAAATGTTCGGACTTATCCAAGCTCTCATGATGGAGCTATTACTAGGGGCAAAGAAAAAAGAGAATATGCTTTTAAATAAGGTAAAATAATTCAAAATAATGCTTTTAGTTTAATGGTTTTAGCATATAGACACAAGCACATTATATACTTCTTTTCCTACTTCCACTCTTTCTCCTTTCCCCTCCCTTAATCTTTGCTAGATTCTGATCCCAAGTATATGAAGTTATCATATGAAAGTGAATAGTGAGGGGAGGGGTGTGGAAGTTGAGCAGGAATAGGTATAAGAGGATATCAATTTTGAAGATAATTGTGCACAGGAGTCTTCCCTTATGAGCCCCCAAGCTATTAAAAATAATTAAACCTTTCTGTTCTATATGTTGAATCTACATAGAACTAACTTTTCAGTAAGCTTTTGACTAATCGTGAAACATTTTAACAGTATTGCTTTTTTATCAAACTGAATATATTCAAAATAGGCCTTTGCTGTGAACTAAATAAAGTGAAATCACCTTTCTGGTGAGCAATTGAACAAAATATAGCAAAACTTTAAAACTTTTTATACCTTTTATCCCAAAATCTTACCTCTAGGAAGCTACCTTAAGAAATAAACAAAAGACATGCACAAAGATTTGACTAAACATTATCATGTTTCGATGATCATCATGGCGATGACTAAACAACATCAAAAAATATTCCCATCATGACCAGCTTCAATCTACCAACATAAAGTCATTGAATGCTGAGTTGAGAAGAGATACACATATTGGCTCCAGCACACCAGCAAAAAGGAAACACACAGAGCTCTCGCTCCAATTTCTGTTTTAGAAACAGCACACACACACACACACACACACACACACACACACAACCCATCACTTCATTCACAGCTCATTGGCCAGAATTACTGGCATGGCTTTGCCTAGCTGCAACAGGATCCAGAAGGAAGAAACTGGATATTGGTGAGCACGGCAATGTTCTCCACAAAGCACTATCCTTGGGCTTCCTCTTTCATGCCTGACAAGTCCATCATACAATTTTCTTAAACAAAAATTATCCTCTCCCTAAAATAAATTCTACCACTAGCTTCAAAATAATGATTTATTTTTACCTGTTATGTATATGATACACAGATATGAAGGAAAAAATTAAATTATTTCCAGGTAGATGGGTTTAGAAATTTTATTTTCTTTTTATTAAGTTGTATTTCCTAATTTTACCATGATAAACATGGATTGTTTTTATAATAACTTTTTTATGTTTAATATGTATGTGTATTTATTTATACACATATTATGTATACATGATAAACAAACTTTTATAAATATGTTTTCCTTGCATAGTTCCTGCAAATTCTTCTTATTTTAACTCTAAGAAGAACCAGAAGGCAGAATACAGAAACATTTAGTTATCAGTTTTCTGGTCATTCCCAGAACTCATGTCAATCTACCTTTATGGTTTCTCTCCCATTTTGTCTTAAAAACCTTGTTTGGCATTGACTGGCATAGTTAGTTCAAATCTAGATAATATTATATATTTCCCTTTACTCCAGTCAAATACTACAGCCTCCTCTCAATAACTGTGCCTCAGGCAAACCTGACCAGTGTCCTCTAAACTCCTCCCATACCCACCAGTTAATGTTGAAAAACAGAAATATGAAAATTATTCAAGGAAAAATTTTTCTGACTTCTTCCATTAAATTGTCTGAAGAAAAAAAATACTGTAATGAAAAAAAAATTTGACAGCCAATTCTTTGATTTTCACTTTCCATCTCATTTCCATGGTCTAAAATTTAATCCTCAGGATACACAAGGGAGGTTTTCTCCATCTCTGAAAACCCAAGAGCTGAGAGGATTGTTCAACTGGAAAAAATTACCCTAAATGAGCAAAGTATAGAAATGTACTTATAAAATCTAAAGTTCCAAATAAATAGGAGGTATTATTACTACATTTCAGTACATCCAATACTGCAGTTTGTACTCAGTATACATGAGTTTTCTAGAAAGAAGTGTTACTTGTGCGTGCACACACACACGTCTATTTATTTTAATATCATCCCTCCACATAGTGCCTTTGCTATTTATTGTCTGCAGTATTGGAATAATTGGAAGAATAAAGATTTGCATCTTTATCTTTAACCTGGAATAAGTTAATTGTAATCTCTCTTCATTGTTGACTTGTAACTTAAGTTTATTTTCAAAGTGGATGCTAAAATAAATACATAAATCCATTTTTTTGAAGGTAAGAATAAAGCATGGCAAGAAAATTTATAAACACTTTAGAAGATGTTTGACACAATTTTATTACCTCTGCAACATTCCCTTACATGTCAGGTACCCATATCCCAGCACTGGGTGTTTTGTCAGATAATGGAGGAATATTCATTGAATTGAAAAGAGCTGGAGTATGACATTAGATTACAACTTTTATATCCAAGAGAAGTACATAAGAGCAATGCCTTTTCTTCTTTTTATCTGCTTCCCCTTTCCCTTCAGGCAAAAATATAAATGAAAAATACCTTCTACGTTCAATCAAATACCAAAGATAAAATGCCCGATTGCTTGCTTGACTGCTTACAATGGAGGTCTAACAAATGTTAATCTATTTCTGCAGCCAACAGAGAGGGGCAGCTGGAAAGAGGAGAAGAGGATTAGAAGAGCTTTTCCTCAGTGGCATTTTTGAGACTTCAAAATGCTCTTAGAAGCTACTTAACAACAAAATCAGTTGATCCCATTGTTGCAGCTCAGAATTCTGTTTCAGTATATCGCAGCTGAGTAAGGAAGCTAAGGCGCTGGAGTGGTATTAATGCATCACCCATGGATATGTCCAAAAGCTCTTAATTATAGCACCTTAAAGAAGTCTTACAAAAATCCTCCAGCCTTCCACAAGACCTGGGTCTCCTGGGGCCAGGACCACCAAAGAGAAAATAAAATCCCAGATCTCTGAGGGTCTCACCAAGTTGTATTTCTGGAACTTCATCTCGCTCCACTTCCACCCACCCACCCCTACTCTAATTTCAAGCCCCCTTTATGGTGGAAGTGTGTGTAGAGATCCTCTTCCCATCCTCATGGGGCGTGAATGGCTCCCTGTTGTGCTGCTACAGTTTCTGGTCTCATTCCTTTGATGCAACCATCAGTGCCAAGCTTTGAACATTAACACCTGTGACCCACCACTGCCTCCACTGAGGGGTCAGATGCTGCCCAGCAGCTGGAGAGGAGGAGGAAAAAGAGGTGGAATGTGAGAGGAAGCATCCTTTCTCCCTCCCTTCCTGCTATGGTTAATTTTATGTGTCAAGTTGTCTAGGTCATGATACCTAGTTGTTCGTCCCCTCCAAATCACGTGTTGAAATGTAATGCCCTGGTGGGAGGCGTTTGGATCACGGGGACAGATCCCTCATGAATGGCTCAGCACCATCCCCTTGGTGATGAGTGAGTTCTCACTCTGGTAGTTCACAAGAGATCTGGTTGTTTAAAAGAGTGTGTCACCTCCCCCAGCCCTTGCTCCCTCTCTTGCCTTGTGATACACTGGCTCCTCTTCACCTTCCACCATGATTGGAAGCTTCTTGAGGCCCCTATCAGAAGCAGATGCCAGCACCATTCTTCCTGCACAGCCTGCAGAACTGTGAGCTAAAATAAACCTTTTCTTATAAATTACCCAGACTCAGGTATTTATTTATAGTAACACAAGAATGGACTAACACAGTATTATTCAAAGGTGATTAACATTTAAATCAGTCCTTTTTGAGTAAAGCAGCTTACCCATTATTATGTGGGTAGTCTTTATCCAATCAGTTCAAGGCATTAAGAAAAAAGACTGAGGTTCCCCCAAAGAGGAAGGAATTCTGCCTCCATATGGCCTTCAGATTGCGATAGACAACACTGACTCTTGCTGGAATGTCCAGCCTGCCAGCTTGCCCTACAAATTTCAGAGTGAACAGTCCCACAGTTGGATGAGCCAATTCCTTAACATAAATCTCTCTCTCCTCTATTTCTCTCTCTCTTATAGTCTCGCTGATAGATAGATAGATAGATAGATAGATAGATAGATAGACAGACAGACAAATAGATGGATAGTCATGTGTCATTTAATGACAGGAATACATTATGAGAAGTGTTTTGCTAGGCAATTTCATCTTTGTGTGGACATCACACAGTGTTATATTTACACAAACCTAGATTGGTCCAGCCTACTACATTCTGAGGCTATGTGTATAGCCTATTACTCCTAGGCTACAAACCTGTACAGCATGTGACTACTGAATACTGTAGCCATTGTAACACAGTGATTAGTATTTGCATGTCTAAACATAGAAAAAGATACAGTAAAATATAGTATAGTTTTTTTTAAACAGTATACCTGTATAGGGCACTTACCATGAATGGAGCTTGCAGGCCTGGAAGTTGCTCTGGTTGAGTCAGTGAGTGGTGAGTGAATGTGAAGGCCTAGGACAAAGCTGTATACTACTGTACTGTAGAATTCATAAACATTGTACACTTAGGCAACACTGAATTTACGTTTTTAATTTTTCTTTCTTCAATAGTAAATTAACATGAGCTTACTGTAATTTTTTTACTTTATAAGCTTTTTTTAACTTTTTGACTCTTTCATAATAAAACTTAGCTTAAAACACAAACACATTGTACAGCTATATACCATTTTTTGTATCTTTATTCTATATGCTTTCTTATTTTCAATTTTTTCTTTGCTTTTTAATTTTTTTGTTAAAAACTAAAACACAAAAACATACATTTGCCTAGGCCTACACAAGGTCAGGGTCGTCAATAGCCTTCTCTTCCACCTCAAAATATCATTCCACTGGAAGGTCTTCAGGGGCAATAACACGCATGGAGCTGTCATCGCCTATGATAAAAATGCCTTCTCCTGAAATACCTCCTGAAGGGCTTGCCTGAGGCTGTTTTACAGTTAACTTTTATGTTATATAAGTAGAAGGAGTACTCTAAAATAACAGTAAAAACGATAATATAATAAGTAAATAAATCAGTAACATAGTCATTTTATTATCATTATCAAGTATTATGTACTGTATATAACCATAAGCGCTATACTTTTATATGACTGACAGCTCAGTAGTTTCTTTACACAAACAACTCCACAAACATATGGGTAACACATTGTGCTCTGACATTACAAGGGCTACAGCATCATTAGGTGATAGGAATTTTTCAGCTCCATGATAAGCCAATAATAGAACCACCATCAATATGCAGTCTATTGTTGACTGAAACATCATTCTACAGAACTTTGTGTGTGTGTGTGTGTGTGTGTGTGCGTGCGTGTGTGTGTGTGTGTGTGTGTACTGGTTCTGACTCTCTAGAAAACCCTTACTAACACACTTTCCCAGCAGTCAAAACTTTCCACTCCTCATGAGACAGCCCATAGGGTCTAAAAAGTGGAGCTGCATGCTCAAGATCCCAACCCCTTCAATGAAGGCATCATCCAACCCTTCACGGGTATAGGTTGTGAAGCCCAATCTTATGACTGGACTCTGAGTAATTTTCAGGGCTTTTTACACTGACCCACACCCTAAAGTTTGAAAGAAAATAAGTAGCTAAAGAACATTCCCTTCTTCCCACATTCTGCCTCAGACCCAAAAAGGACCAGGGGATTTTGCCCGGTCTCCCAACCCAAGAGGATACTTTCCTTCTCTCTCTCCCCTCGGTCCCGGCTGCTGAGGAGAAATAACTTTCTGGTTAGTGAGAACTTGGAATTCAGCAGACATATGTCTGTATCCACCCTACACTTCATGATGATTGAGCCTTGACACAGACAGGGGTTTTCTTCAAGATTACAAACAGGGAAGAGATCTCCCATGGGCATTATAAGACCAAAATGTGCATCATTCCATTTCTCTGTTTGCCACTGATCTGGAGTTTGGACAGGAGAACAGTCTCAAATTCTACCTTGAGGCTTTCCATTGTTGCTGGCTCCTTAGTCTGAAAGCCAAGTCTTTCTTTGTAAGCATAAATCAAACTCTAGTGTTATCTTCCAAATTGTTCATTAGTAATTCAGAGGCATAGCTCTCTAAACAAAGATGAGTCTTCCTGGCCTATACCCTTTCCATGTGAATTTAATGTGCTTTATTGCCCTTCATCTTGTATGGGTCAAAACCAGTGTCTCATATTTCTTACCTTTCCCATTCTCTCTTGATCATTTTTTTGTTGTTGGTTTAGTCTCTCCAGTATGCAATTGACCTGAATTATTTCAACAACTGCATTTTCCTTCCATTTCACATTTGCTCTAGAAACCAAACCTCAATATATTTAATGTCCATTCACTATATTTTACGGATTTCTTCTCTTATATCACAAGTTCATGGACAATCTGAGGAAGCTTGAATTACAAGTAGCCAATTGGCCTATCTACCTCATTTATATTTATTATCTTTATTCACATACACAGGGCACCAAATTTCTCTGGAAAATCAGCTGTGCTACTTCTAAGGTACAAAAAAAATGTGTAAGATTGTCTGAGAGATTTAAAGCTGTCGTCGTAGTAACTGGGAAATTACCACCTACAACCACTCCACTGAGGCCTGAAACTCAGTTAATTACCACTGCTTAATTAATCCAAGAGTCTCTCTCACTGAATGCCCAGCTGGGTTGTGAAAATAATCACTAAATAACCCAAAGGTCTTCCAGAAGCCAGGAGAACAGCACTTTGGCCTGCCTGTAGAGGCAGAGATCCCTCTGGTCTCCTTCTGGTTCACTGGAAAGCTGGTTACCACTAAGGAGAAAGGAAAGGTTAAAGATCTCTGAACAAAAGAGATTCACATACAAACGAGGCAATCTCTAGAATGTGAGCCACATTTCCTGGAGAAAGCGCAACATCCCATGCTCGTGAAGAAGAAAGAAAGATCTGCAGATAAATAGCAAGTACCTTAGCTCCAGAAAGAAAAGATAGCCTAAAAAATTACCCTGGTGATATGTATGGAGGTGCCCCAATCAGCTAAAAGTATAGTTTCTGACCAACAAGGCAAACAGTTTTTAAGAATGCAAGATAGAGAGATAGGCTGAGTTCAAATTCTAACTCGCCATTCACCTGATGGGTCATCTTCCTGAGCTTAACTAAGCTTCAGTGTCTTTATCTGTTAAGTGAGAGTCATCTTAGAATTGTGTTGAGGATTAAATGAGATCATCTAAATTAAGTACTTAACTAAACATCTACCACATAGTAAATTCTTCATAAATGTTATAACTGATTATTATATATGAAGAATCCCATTAACAGTTATCTTATGCTCCAACCACTCCGAACAGCTGCTGAATAATTTGGAAGCAATTGTGACATCAGAAAAAGTCTTGGATTTTGAGATACTGGACAAAAAAAAAAAAACTGAAGGAACTGTGGATAGCATTCTTGTATTTAATCCCTGGGAAAGGTAAGAAATTTGAAAGACAAAAGAGGAATGAGAGTCCAGGAAATGAATTGCAAGTATTATTAGATGGGGACAGAGAATGGAGTTTGCCATCCTGAATGGTTGTTCAAATTCTCAGAACAACAGACCCACCTGGCTAGGGAAAAGTTCGTCTATATAAGAACCCACTGTCTGTCAACAGGAGAAAGAATAAACAAATGTTATAGTCACATAATGAAATACTCTTCACAATTTTCTTTAATTAAGTACTAAACACACAACACATGGATGAATTGCAAAAACATTGTGAGTAAAAGAAGTCAAGTACAAGAGCACATATATATACAAACATATACATATATGAAGAAGTTCTGTTAAGAGACAAAACTAATCTAATAGTGATAGAAAACAGAACAGTGGGCTGGGCACAGTGGTTCACACCTGTAATCCCAGAACTTTGGGAGGCCGAGGATCACAAGGTCAGGAGTTCAAGACCAGCCCAGCCAACATAGTGAAACTCCATCTCTACTAAAAATACAAAAGTTAGCCGGGCATGGTAGTGGGTGCCTGTAGTCCCAGCTACTCAGGAGGCTGAGGCAAGAGAATTGCTTGGACCTGGGAGGTGGAGGTTGCAATGAGCCTAGATTGTGCCACTGCACTCCAACCTAGGTGACAGAGTGAGACTCTGTCTCAAAAGAAAAAAAGAAAGGAAAAGAGAACAGTGGTTGTCTCTGGAATGGAGCAGGGCAGGAAACTGACTGGAAGGAGGCACAAGGGAATTTCTTAGGATGATGGAAATGTTCTTTAGCTTGCTTTGGTGGTGGTTTGTCAGAACATGTTGAACTGAACTGTATGCATTTTATTATATCTTAATTATAACTTAATTTTCTAAAATAGAGCAAACTAAGACATTTCAGATTAACAATGACTGATATTGAAAAAAGTTACCATACACAGGATCTTCTTGAAAAAAATACTAAAGGATGTTTCTTAGGAAGAAGGAAATTAAACCTACAATGAAGAAATGAAAGTAAAGAAAGTGAAGAAATAGGTGAAGCACTGACTGTATAAAACAATGCCAAAGGTATTGACTGATCTTGTGCATGTGTGTTTTTAAAGATGGAATTAAATAATATACAATAATAACATGAAAGGAAAGAGATACTGCTTTTTCATGTAAAGAATAGAGATATTGATTACATTCAGACATTTTAGGTCAACTATGCATGCAAAAAAGGAAGGTAGCACCTAAAAAGGTAGAATAACATGCAACGTCCAGAGGACAAGGTGACGTGGGTAGCTGCACAGAATAAAGAAAACTCAATCAATCTAATAGACCCCATCTCCCCCAAACACATACACATGAGAGAGCAAGAGAAGAATCCAAGGGCTATGTGGTACTTATAAAGTATAAAATGAAATGGTAGAAATAGATACATCAGCAATCACAATAAATATGCACATACTAAACTCACCAGTCTTACATTGGTTTTTTGGCACATACACTTTCCAATTATATGCTATTCATAAGAGACACACCTAAAACATAATTCCAAAAATGTTGAAAGTAAAGAGGTAAAAAATTACGTAATGAAATAATACTTACCAAAATAAAATAAATACAGTCAGAGTCAAGATGGCCGAATAGGAACAGCTCTGGTCTGAAGCTCCCAGCATGATCCACACAGAAGACAGGCGATTTCTGGATTTCCAGCTGAGGTACCCGGTTCATCTCATTGGGACTGGTTGGACAGTGGGTGCAACCCACAGAGGGTGAGCCGAAGCAGGGCAGGGCATCACCTCACCCTGAAAGCACAAGGGGTCGGGGAATTTCCCTTTCCTAGCCAAGGAAAGCCGTGACAGACTACCTGGAAAAATGGGACACTCCCGCCCAAATACTGTGCTTTTCCCAAGGTCTTAGCAACCGGCAGATTCTCTCCCGTGCCTGGCTCAGCAGCACCCACGCTGATGGAGCCTTGCTCACTGCTAGCATAGCAGTCTGAGATCGATCTGCAAGATGGCAGCTTGGCTGGGGGAGGGGCGTCTGCCATTGCTGAGGCTTGAGTAGGTAAACAAAGCCTCCGGGAAGCTTGAACTGGGTGGAGCCCACCACAGCTCAACAAGGCCTACTGCCTCTAGACTCCACCTCTGTGGGAAGAGCATAGCTGAACAAAAAGCAGCAGACAACTTCCGCAGACTTAAATGTCCCCGTCTGACAGCTCTGAAGAGAGGAGTGGTTCTCCCAGCATGGCGTTTGCACTCTGAAAATGGTCAGACGGCCTCCTCAAGTGGGTCCCTGACCCCTGTGTAGCCTAACTGGGAGATACCTCCCAGTAGGGGCCAACAGACACCTCATATAGGCGGCTGCCCCTCTGGGTTGAAGCTTCCAGAGAAAGAATCAGGCAGCAATATTTGCAGTTCTGCAATATTTGCTGTTGTGCCACCTCTGCTGGTGATACCCAGGCAAACAGGGTCTAGAGTGGAACTCCAGCAAACTCCATCAGAGCTACAGCTGAGGGACCTGACCGTTAGACGGAAAACTAACAAACAGAAAGAAACAGCATCAACATCAACAAAAGGTCATCTACACCAAAACCCCATCTGTAGGTAACCAACATCAAAGACCAAAGGCAGATAAAACCACAAAGATGGGGAGAAACCAGAGCAGAAAAGCTGAAAATTCTAAAAATCACAGGACGTCTTCTTCTCCAAATGATCACAGCTCCTTGCCAGCAACGTAACAAAGCTGGATGGAGAATGACTTTGACAAGTTGACAGAAGTAGGCTTCAGAAGGTCGGTAATAACAAACTTCTCCAAGCTAAAGGAGGACGTTTGAACCCATTACAAGGAAGCCAAAAACCTTGAAAAAAAGATTAGACAAATGGATAACTAGAATAAACAGTATAGAGAAGAACTTAAATGACTTGATGGAGCTGAAAACCATGGCACAAGAACTTCGTGACACATGCACAAGCTTCAATAGCCGATGCAATCAAGTGGAAGAAAGGGTATCAGTGATTGAAGATCAAACTGATGAAATAAAGCAAGAAAATATAGTTAGAGAAAAAAGAGTAAAAAGAAATGAACAAAGCCTCCAGGAAATATGGGACTATGTGAAAAGAACAAATCTACGTAAGATTGGTGTACCTGAAAGGGATGGGAAGAATGGAACCAAGTTGGAAAACACTCTTCAGGATATTATCCAGGAGAACTTCCCCAATATAGCAAGGCAGGCTAACATTCAAATTCAGGAAATACAGAGACCACCACAAAGATACTCCTCAAGAACAGCAACCGCAAGACACATAATCGTCAGATTCACCAAGGTTGAAATGAAGGAAAAGTGTTAAGGGCAGCCAGAGAGAAAGGTCAAGTTACCCACAAAGGGAAGCCCATCAGACTAACAGCAGATCTCTCAGCAGAAACCCTACAAGCCAGAACAGACTGGGGACCAATATTCAACATTCTTAAAGAAAAGAAGTTTCAACCCAGAATTTCATATCCAGCCAAACTAAGCCTCATAAGTGAAGGAGAAATAAAATCCTTTACAGACAAGCAAATGCTGAGAGATTTTGTCACCACCAGGCCTGCCTTACAAGAGCTTCTGAAGGAAGCACTAAACATGGAAAGGAACAACCAGTACCAGCCACTGCAAAAATAGGTCAAATTGTAAAGACCATCAATGCCATGAAGAAACTGCATCAATTAATGGGCAAAATAACCAGCAAACATCACAATGACAGGATCAAATTCACACATAACAATATTAACCTTAAATGTAAGTGGGCTAAATGCTGCAATTAAGACACAGACTGGCAAATTGGATAAACAGTCAAGACCCATCAGTGTGCTGTATTCAGGAGACCCATCTCACGTGCAAGGACACACATAGGCTCAAAATAAAGGGATGGAGGAAGATGTACCAAGCAAATGGAAACCAAAAAAAAGCAGGGGTTGCAAACCTAGTCTTTGATAAAACAGACTTTAAACCAACAAAGATCAAAAGAGACAAAGAAAGCCATTACATAATAGTAAAGGGATCAATTCAACAAGAAGAGCTAACTATCCTAAATATATATGCACCCAATACAGGAGCACCCATATTCATAAAGCAAGTCCTTAGGGGCCTACAAAGAGACTTAGACTCCCACACAATAATAATGGGAGACTTTAACACCCCACTGTCAACATTAGACAGATCAACAAGACAGAAGGTTAACAAGGATATCCAGGACCTGAACTCAGCTCTGCAACAAGCAGACCTAATAGACATCTACAGAACCCTCCACCCCAAATCAACAGAATATATATTCTTCTCAGCACCACATCACACTTATTCTAAAATTGACCACATAATTGGAAGGAAAGTACTCTTCAGCAAATGTAAAAGAACAGAAATCACAACAAACTGTCTCTCAGACCACAGCGCAATCAAATTGGAACTCAGGATTAAGAAACTCACTCAAAACCGCTCAACTACATGGAAACTGAACAACTTGCTCCTGAATGACTACTGGGTAAATAACGAAATGCAGGCAGACACAAAGATGTTCTTTGAAACCAATGAGAACAAAGGCACAACGTACCAGAATCTCTGGGACACATTTAAAGCCATGTGTAGAGGGAAATTTATAGCACTAAATGCCCACAAGAGAAAGCAGGAAAGATCTAAAACTGACACCCTAACATCACAATTAAAAGAACTAGAGAAGCAAGAGCAAACAAATTAAAAAGCTAACAGAAGGCAACAAATAATTAAGATCAGAGCAGAACTGAAAGCGATAGAGACACAAAAAACCCTTCAAAAATCAATGAATCTAGGAGCTGGTGTTTTGAAAAGATCAACAAAATTGACAGATCGCTAGCAAGACTAATAAAGAAGAAAAGAGAGAAGAATCAAATAGATGCAATAAAAAATGATAAAGGGGATATCACCACTGATCCCACAGAAATGCAAAATACCATCAGAGAATACTATAAATACCTCTATGCAAATAAACTAGAAAATCTAGAAGAAATGGATAAATTCCTGGACACATACACCCTCACAAGACTAAACCAGAAAGAAGTTGAATTTCAGAATAGACCAATAACAGTCTCTGAAATTGAGGCAATAATTAATAGCCTGCCAACCAAAAAAAGTCCAGGACCAGATGGATCCACAGCTGCATTCTACCAGAGGTACAAAGAGGAGCTGGTACCATCCCTTCTGAAACTATTCCAATCAATAGAAAAAAGGGAAATCCTCCCTAACTCATTTTATGAGGCGAAAATCATCCTGATACCAAAACCTGGCAGAGACACAACAAAAAAAGAGAATTTTAGACCAATATCCCTGATGAACATCGATGCAAAAATCCTCAATAAAATATTGGCAAACAGAATCCAGCAGCACATCAAAAAGCTTATCCACCACGATCAAGTTGGCTTCAACCCTGGGATGCAAGGCTGGTTCAACATATGCAAATCAATAAACGTAATCCATCACCTAAACAGAACCAATGACAAAAATCACATGATTATCTCAACAGATGCAGAAAAGGCCTTTGACAAAATTCAACAGCCCTTCATGCTAAAAATTCTCAATCAACTAGGTATTGATGGAACATATCTCAAAATAATAAGAGCTATCTATGACAAACCCACAGCCAGTATCATACTGAATGGGCAAAAGCTGGAGGCATTCCCTTTGAAAACTAGCACAAAACAAGGATGCCCACTCTCACCACTCCTATTCAACCCTAACCCTAACCCTAACACTCACCACTCCTATTCAACCTAGTGTCGGAAGTTCTGGCCAGGGCAATCAGGCAAGAGAAAGAAATAAAGACTATTCAATTAGGAAATGAGGAAGTCAAACTGTCCCTGTTTGCAGATGACACGGTTGTATATTTAGAAAACCCCATCGTCTCAGCCCAAAATCTATTTAAGCTGATAAGCAACTTCAGCAAAGTCTCAGGATACAAAATCAATGTGCAAAAATCACAAGCATGCCTATACACCATTAACAGACAAACAGCCAAATCATAAGTGAACTCCCATTCTCAGTTGCTACAAAGAGAATAAAATACCTAGCAATCCAACTTACAAGGGATGTGAAGGACCTCTTCAAGGAGAAATACAAACCACTGCTCAAGGAAATAAAAGAGGATGCAAATAAATGGAAGAATATTCCATGCTCATGGATAGGAGGAATCAATATCATGAAAAGGGCCATACTGCCCAAAGTAATTTATAGATTCAATTCCATCCCATCAAGCTACCAATGACTTTCTTCACAGAATTGGAAAAAAACGACTTTAAAGTTCGTATGGAACCAAAAAAGAGCCCGCATTGCCAAGACAATCCTAAGCAAAAAGAACAAACCTGGAGGCATCACACTACCTGACTTCAAACTATGCTACAACGCTACTGGTACCAAAACAGAGATATAGACCAATGGAACAGAAGAGAGGCCTCAGAAATAACACCACACATCTACAACCATCTGGTCTTTGACAAACCTCACAAAAACAAGAAATAGAGAAAGGATTCCCTATTTAATAAATGGTGCTGGGAAAACTCGATAGCCATATGTAGAAAACTGAAACTGGACCCCTTCCTTACACCTTATACAAAAATTAATTCAAGATGGATTAAAGACTTAAATATTAGATCTAAAACCATAAAAACCCTAGAAGAAAACCTAGGCAATACCATAGGTTTGGGCAAGGACTTCATGTCTAAAACACCAAAAGCAGTAGCAACAAAAGCCAAAATAGACAAATGAGATCTAATTAAACTAAAGAGCTTTTGCACAGCAAAAGAAACTACCATCAGAGTGAACAGGAAACCTACAGAATGGGAGAAAATTTTTGCAATCTACCCATCTAACAAAGGGCTAATATCCAGAATCTACAAAGAACTCAAACAAATTTACAAGAAAAAACAAACAACCCCATCAAAAAGCAGGCAAAGGATATGAACAGACACTTCTCAAAAGAAGACATCTATGCAGCCAACAGACAAATGAAAAAATGCTCATCATCACTGGTCATCAGAGAAATGCAAATCAAAACCACAATGAGATACCATCTCATGCCAGTTAGAATGGCAATCATTAAAAAGTCAGGAAACAGCAGGTGCTGGAGAAGATATGGAGAAATAGGAATGCTTTTACACTGTTGGTGTGAGTGTAAATTAGTTCAACCATTGTGGAAGACAGTGTGGTGATTCCTCAAGGATCTAGAACCTGAATTACCATTTGACCCAGCCATCCCATTACTGGGTATATACCCAAAGGATTATTAATCATGCTACTATAAAGACACATGCACACATATGTTTATTGTGGCACTATTCACAATAGCAAAGACTTGGAACCAACCCAAATGTCCATCAATGATAGGTTGGATTAAGAATATGTGGCACATATACACCATGGAATACTATGCAGCCGTAAAAAATGATGAGTTCATGTCCTTTGCAGAGACATGGATGAAGCTGGAAACCATCATTCTCAGCAAACTATCACAAGGACAGAAAACCAAACACTGCATGTTCTCACTCAAAGGTGGGAATTGAACAATGAGATCACTTGGACACAGGACGAGGAACATCACACACTGGGGCCTGTCAGGGGGTGGGGAGCTGGGGGAGGGATAGCATTAGGAGAAATACCTAATGTAAATCATGAGTTAATGGATGCAGCAAACCAACATGGCAAATGTATACCTATGTATCAAACCTGCACGTTGTGCACATGTACCCTAGAACTTAAAGTATAATAAAATAAACTAAATAAATAAATAGTCATATTAAATCAGACAAAAATAAATTTCAGGGAGAAAACATGATGTAATGATTAAATGAATAATTTTTTTAAAAAGATATAATAGTCTTATAATAGTCTATAATAACATGGCCTTAAAATATATAAAGCAAAACCAAAGACTCACAAGGAGAAATGAACATATCCATAATCATGGAAGGAAGATTTTAACATCTTACAATACTGAATAAAAATCAAAAAGAAAATAGACACTTAAGTAGTACAATTAATAAACTTTATCAAACAGATTGCAACTTATATTCTACACCAAAAATTAAAGAATGCATTTTATTTTCAAGGACACATGAATAACTTACCAAAAATTTACTAGAGACTTCCTCACAAAGCAAGATTCAACAAATTCAAAACATTGTGCAGCAGACCACATTTTGTGATCAAAGTACTGTAAAATTAGAAACCAATAGTTGAGAAATAGACTCCAAAACCATATATGTTAGAGAAATATTTAAGGTCATGTAAATAATTTATAGGTCCACAAATAAATCATAAAGAAAATTATGAATATTCAGACCTGAATAACAATTAAGAATATTGCATATCGAAATTGATGGATGCAACTCAATCAGTACTTAAGGGCAATTTAGCCTGAAATGCATTTATTAGATAAGAAGAAAGGTCAAAAGGTAATGGGCCAATTTTTCTAGACAAGGCAGTTGAAGAGGGAGGGCTTACAGAGGGACTGGCCTGGCGTGCACTCTGCATCTCCAGGATGTTGTTTCTTATGGAATGGATGCTTTTGGAAGACTATTGCCCAGAAAAAAGATGTTTAGTTTTTCCCAAGCCAAAGATGTACCGAAGTATAGAGGGCTGTTGTGTTTGCAGAGCTAAGTCCTCCAGTTCTTGATTCACTGACAGTAAACGCTATGAAAAGGACTTCCAGAGCTCTTTGGGGCTGCATGAGACATCTGCGATGCCTGTGTTCTGCTTGTGAAAAGATGGAAGACGTTGCCAGCAGGATCAAAAAACCCTGGATTCATGTGGCAGATGCAGGGCTGGACCCAGTCTAAATACTACACTGAAACCAAAGAGAGTGAAAACTGTATCTGGGAACAGGATAAAAAGCAACCAGACCAATAAACTGCAGAAGAAAGGTAAAGATTGCAATGATGATGCTCACAGTACCACCTCAAGTGCCTCCTTGTTACAGCAACTAGTCAGACGATGGCTCAGTTATGGAGATGGCTTCTGGTTCTACCAGAACACCAGGTGTTTTCCTTTTTAGATCTCACAGACTGAAAAAGAAGATACATAGTGGGATTATTTATAAAGGCCATTTTGGGAAAGTCCTCATCAACTCACATCTGTTCAAGCCTTGCCACAGGAATACAAAAGCAACTACTGAGAAATGTAGGGGCAGGGGCCAGAGCCTCTGCCCACATCACTCAGGAGTAGAAACGGGGAACAAAAAACAATTTAAACTTTGAAAAGACCACAAAGCAACTAACTGTCCCACCTATTTTTAACTTGGATACCTGCTACTCTGCCAAAAAACAACTTCTAGAATAGTTTTGAATGGGTTATTTTCCCCCTAGTCTCACAAATTCTGAAGTCGATTTCTAGCTTCACAAAAAAAGAATTGAAAATAATATTTAAGATGCTGGATATTTCACAAGAAAGCCGAATGCTGCTATAAGTCTTTTTTAATACCCTTCTAATGAATGAAACTAGGGGAATTTCAGGGTACAGAGATGGGATTTGTCATATGCTAAACGGTAGGTAGTTTTAGTCTTTCTATATTGAGAAGCAGTGGTTGGGGCATTTTTTAAGGTAGCTGGCTACACTTGTTTTCCCTCACGATAATAATTTGTCATAACTCAGTAACATGGACTTGCCCCTAGAGGTAGTTGTTAATAATTTTGAAATATTAAGGTCTTGCCAAGGTTCCAACAATTCAAACCTGTACTACTGATTATTAAGCAGGACAGACTGTGCTTTCTGTTGCAAATACCTTAAAGGAAAAAGTAATTTCTAAATATACAGAAAGGAAAGATGACTGTATATGTTGCATCCTGTGCTGCCTCTCTTCATATTAATATTTGATAACGATTTCAATTTTTATGAAACTTCTAAAGCAGAATCAATGCTCCTCTTGGGGAAATGACAAGTCTTTAGGATAGCCAAGACCCTATATGAACAGTACCAAAGCATTACCACATAATAGAGAACACATTTTATTAAAAACATTGAACTATCAGAGGCCAGGTGTGGTGGCTCACACCCATAATCCCAAAACTTTGAGAGGCCAAGGTGGGCAGATCACTCAAGGTCAGGAGTTTGAGGACAGCCTGGCCAACATGGTGAAACCTGTCTCTACTAAAAATACAAAAATTACGTGGGCTTGGTGGCGCATGCCTGTAATCCCAGCTACTCAGGAGGCTGAGGCAGGAGAATAGCTTGAACCCAGGAGGCAGAGGTTGCAGTGAGCCAAGACTGTACCACTGCACTCCAGCCTCGGCGACAGAGCAAGACTCTGCCTCAATTAAACGAACAAACACAAAAGTTAAACTATCGCAAAAATAAAATGTATAGTCTTCAGGATGGCACAAAGCAAATGTTAGTGCTTCTTAGGGCACATTTCTTAGAGGAATTTCCGAGTGTGTAAATAATTGACTTTTGTTTGTGTTACATGACTGATGACTTTCTTGAAAATCTGCACAGGTCAGTTTTAGGTCTGGATTACTTCAGCTGGCTTTTGTGAAGGTTTTGTCTGTGAAGAGTGGGTGTTTGACTTGTTTTAGCCTATTAGGGTTCTTTTCCACTCTATATTTAAAGAAAACTTTACTAGAAGAGGGGTGGTGTTAATGATAAGTGGGTTGGTTTTGGTTTGGCTTCTTTTAGCCAGCTTAGCTTTCTGAACATTGAGATATCCTGAACTTGGGGCTCTTCAATTCTAAAATGCTCATTAAAAGCCTCTCACTTGAACCCAAGCCAAAGTACTCTTACTGCCTCTTTTCTAAATGTTCAGGAAAAAAAAAATCACCAGTTCAGATTTCACAATGAGGAAGAAGCATTTGTCTGCCTTATGGTAACATAACTCAGTGCTTATTTTTTAAACAGGATTTTTAAAATTGGATAGTATAACAATAAGGAGTTAGTCGCCTTTTATAGGTACCCTATAGTTTTATAGTTAATCTAAACATATTTTATATTTCCTCCTTTTGGAAAAAACTACATGCTACAAGCCAGCATATGCACAGACCACACAATGACTTGGGTTGGCTCTCCCACAGTCTTTGAGGTGAATTATGAGAGTCCAGCCATTATTATCCTCCAGAGTTATTCTGAAAAAAATTGTTTGTATATTTTGGCTGTAGTATTGGTGGTAGGATACACTATAGTATGAATCATCTCTGCTTCTGTATTTATTTATTTTTTACTAGCCCTCAGCCACAGTCTTCTTTTTCCCCTTCCACCTCTCTTTGCCTGTAGGATATACTGTATGTAGTCATGCACTTTGTATTAATACATTCAAAATCCACAGGTCTGTTTTGTACTTTTTAAACTATTGGATACTTACGATCACAAATTTCATGAGGATATTGAATACATTTAGTCTTAGAAAATTTTTAAAAAGTAATGAACTTCATCTGATTCAAAAAAATAGAAAAGGAAAAACAGTAAACTCAAATGAAGGAGTAGGAGAAAGGAAATAAAACATTTAAGGGTAGAAATTCATCATATAATAACAAAAAATAAATAAATAAAAGAGGATCAACAGAGCAAAACGCTGAATCTTTGCGGTGACCAGAAACAAACTAATCCTCTGGTAAGACTGAATAAGAAAAAGAACTGAGGTACAAAGTATCCATATTAGACATGAGAAAAGACACATAATTACAGACACATCAGAAACTTATAGCATCTTAGGAATATTATGAATAACTTGATGCCAATAAATTTGAAACCCAGGCAGGCATACATTTTAAAAAAATTAATTACCAAAATTTTCTCATAAGAAATATAAAAACCTGAATAGACATGATTATATAAAAAATTGAATCCAGTAATTAACAATCTATGCTCTTCCTCACCACCAAATAAGGGCCAAAATGATTATTCAAGTATATTTCAAACCTTCAAGGAATAGTGTTTCCTAACTTATTCAAACTGCTGCTAAGCATATAGAAAACTCCTTGGTTTATTATATAAAGTTAATGTACCCAAAACTGGAGAAGGATCATATAAAAAGAGAAAATTACAGGCCAAGTTCACTCATAAACATAGATGTAAAGGACTTAAATAATTTATTAGCAAATAAATGCAGTGAGACATTTAAAAATGGATACCCCATGACTGACTAAGGCCTATCTCAGGAATGCAAAGATGATTTAATGTTAGAAAATCAATAAAGGTAATACACAACCCTAACTAATAAAAAAAAAAAAAGCCTATATGATAATCTCAAAAATGCAGAAGAATAGGTGAAATTCAATATTCACTTACTATAAAAACTCTTAGACACCAGCACTCAGGGAAACTTTCTTTACTTGATAAAGATATTTACCAAAAACCTTTGGCAAATATCATGCTAAATAGTAAAATGTTTAAAACATTGCATTTTAAAGAACAAGGATGTCCATTAGCACCACTTGTATTCAGCACTTTCCTGGATGTCTTAGCTAAAGCAAAGACCAGAGGGAGGAAAAAAGAGATGTAGAGATTGGACAGGAAGAATCAAAACTGTCATTATTCACAGATAATAGTATTGTCCATGTAGAAAAATCTATGAGAATATATAAACTATTAAAAGCAGTAAGAGCTTATTGGATATAAAATCATATACAAAAATAAATAACATCTCTGTACACCTGCAACATCCAATTAGAAAATGTAATTTTAAAATCGTATCAGTCACAATAACAGCAAAAATATAAGGTACATAGGAACATAGCTGGCAAAAGGTATATATTCATATTATGAAAACAGTATAAAATTTTATTGAAGGATATAAATTTTTTAAATCTGGAAAAAATGGGAAAATGCAGCATGTTCACAGGTAAGAAAGAATCAATATTTTTAAGTTGGCAATTTTCTTCAAATTAATCAACAAAGTCAATGCATTGCAGTCAAATCCTCCTGGGTTTTTCACAGACTTGGTCAAGCGGATGCTGAAATTCCCATAGAATAAGAAAGGGCAAAGAATAACCAAGACAATTTTGAAGAAGAAAAATGTAGAAAAACTTACACTCAAAGATGACAGGGTTCATTGTAAAGTCATATCACAGAGCAAGGTGACACAGCGACAACCGGAACAGAATACAGAGCCAAGAAACAGACTCAGGTTGACTTATTGCAACTTCGTTTATATAAAAAAAAAAAAAAGCCTTAAAAATTAGTGGGGGAAGTATGGTCTATTTTTTCACAATGTCTTTCACAAAAACTTTTAAAAATAATGAGTTTATTAATACAAATTGTTGGCAAGGACGTGAGAAATGGAAATTCACATGTGCGTAGTAGGAGAACAAATTGTGTAGCTCTTTGGGGAGCAATTCTGCTCTACCTAGTAAGCTGCAAGGCTGATGCATACCACTATCAGCGGAGCAGTTCCCCCTTTGGGTAGCTACCCTAGAGCAGCTATGTGCTTATCAGGATGGATAAGAAAATGTGGTCTGCTCCTAAAATGGAACACTTTAAGCTATTACAATAAACTAAATCTTTTTTGTTTTTTTTTTTGATACGTTATACTTGTACATATTTAGGGGTACATGAGAAATTTTGTTACATGCATGAATGTGTAATGGTCAAGTCAGTGTATTTAGTATGTATCATTTCTATGTGTGTTCAGTACATTTCAGGTTTACTTTTCTAGCTATTTTGAAAAATACCTTATTGTTGACTACAGTGGCCCTACTCTGGTAACAAACTTTAGAAAGTATTTCTTCTATCTAATTGTATTTTTGTACCCATTAACCAACGTTTCTCCATCCCCCACTCAATGCCCACACATACACCTTCCCAGTCTCTCGTATTTATTATTCCACTCTCTACCTCCATGTGATCAACTTTTTTAACTCTCACATATGAGTGAGAACATGTGGTATTTGTCTTGCCTGGTTTATTTCACTTAACCTAACGGCCTCCAGTTCCATCCAGTCATCCATTTATTGCTGCAATTGACAGGATTCCATTCTTTTTCATGGCTGAATAATATTTCATTGTGTGTTTATACCACATTTTCTTTATCCATTCATCTGTCGGTAGGCAATTAAGTTGATTCCATATTTTGGCTATTGTGAATAGTGCTGCAATAAACATAAGAGTATAGATATCTCTTCAATATACTGATTTCCTTTTCTGTCTTTTGGATAAATACCTAGTATTGGGATGGCTGGATCATATGGTAGTTCTATTTTCAGGGTTTTAATTTTTATTTTAGATTGAGGGGATACACGCACAGGTTTGTTACCTAGGTATATGGTATGATGCTGAGGCTTGGGTACAAATGATCCTGTCACCCAGGGAATGAGTATAGTACCCAATAGTAAGTTTTTCAACCCTTGCCCCCTTCCTCTGTCTCCCTAGTAGTCCCCAGTTTCTATTTTTGCCATTTTTACATCCCTGAGTACCCAATATTTAGTTCCCACTTGTAAGTGAGAATATACAGTATTTGGTTTTCTGTTCTTGTGTTATTTCACTTAGGATAATGGCCTCCAGCTGAATCCATGTTGCTGTAAAGGGCATGATTTTTTCTTTTTTATGGCTTTGTGCTATTGTAGTATGTATATGTATACCACATTTTCTTTACCCAATCCACCATTGATGGGCAACTAGGTTAATTCCATGTCTTTGCTATTGTGAATAGCGCACAATGAACATGGCAGTGCATGTGTCTTTTTGGTATAATGTTTTTTTCTTTTCATTATTGATATGGTTTGGCCCTGCATCCCTACCCAAATCTCACCTTGAATTGTAATAATCCCCAAATGTCAAGGACAGGACCAGGTGGAGATAAATGAATCATAGGGGTGGTTTCCCCCATAATGCTCTCGTGATAGTGAGTTCTCGCAAGATCTGATGTTTTTATAATGGGCTTACCCCTTTGCTTGGCACTCATCCTCTCTACTCCCACCCTGTGAAGAGGTGCCTTCCGCCATGATTCTAAGTTTCCTGAGGCCTCCCCAGTCATTGGAACTGTGAGTCAATTAAACCTCTTTTCTTTATAAATTACCCAGTCTCAGGTATTTCCTTATAGCAATGTGAGAACGAACTAATCCAGATATTTACCTAGTAATGGGAATGCAGTCTCAAATGGTAGTTCTGTTTTAAGTTCTTTGAGAAATCTCCAAACTGCTTTTTAAGCGGCTGAACTAATTTACATTCCCACCAAGAGTGTATGTATTCCCTTTTCTCCACAGCCTCACCAGCATCTGTTGTTTTTTGACTTTTTAATAATAGCTGTTCTGACTGGTATGAGATGGTATCTCATTGTGGTTTTGATTTACATTTCTCTGATGATTATTTTTAGTTGTTTGAGGAACCTCCATACTGTTTTCCACAGTGGTCGTACTAATTTACATTCCCACCAACAGTGTATAAATGTTCCCTTTTCTCCACATCCTTGCCAACTTCAGGGGTTTTTTTGTCTGTTTAATGATAGCCATTCTAACTAGGGTAAGATGATATCTCATTGTGATTTTAATTTGCATTTCCCTGATGATTAGTCTTTGTAGGATTTCTTTGGCTATAAACAGCATTGGTGGTGTCTGTGATTTCCTTGATGACAGGATGCAGTTTGCTAGTGGACACTGTTGTGATGAAGTTTTGCTGGGGACTGGGACACCAGGTAGGCCAGTCTTCAGGCCCCAGCAATGGCAGCAGTGGGCTGAGCATGCCTGTCCTAGGGCCCCAGAGCATCATACATACTGGTGTTAGCAGGTCCAGGTAGGCTGATTATTGGGCCTCCGGGTGGCTTGTTCCCAGGAATGGCAGCAGTGGGCCAGGCATGTGAGCAGGTTCCCAAGCCCCTGTGCAGTGGGTGTGGTGTGGGTGATGCCAGTAGCAGCAACGGACATCCCTCTGGGACCCAAGTGGTCCACATTGGTGTTGGCAGTGCCTGTGACAGGTCAGGCAGGCCAGTCCCCAGACCCACATGTGGGACCTGCAGGTCAGTGGCAGTTGTGGTGGTAGCAGCAGGTTGAGTGGGCCCAGCCTTATACCCCAGGAGGAGTGCTCAGGTGCCACTGGTGGTGGAGAGGGCTGGGCAATCCCCAGGCCTCTGGATGCTGCACTCTTGTACTGGAGGAGGTGGAGCCAGGCCAGACACCCTAGTGGTTCATATAGATGCTGGCTGTGGTATGCAAGGGTAGGGTGAGCCATGGCCAGCAAAATGCTCAGGTGGAGGCAGCAGAGGCCCTGCTACTAGGGAGGATGGGTTGCTTTCCCTGGGAGCCACCATAGGTAGGCAGCCAGGGAGCATGGGCATCCCCCTGTGCCTCACCCACCTGCAGTCCACAGCCACAGCAGCTGTGGGCAGTGGAATTTGCCCTTGGGGCATGTAAGAATGCACAGCTGCCCCTCTGCATGGGGCCAGGGCAGGTGTGTGTGGGTAGGGTGGGTGCGAGATTGCTGCCTCATCCTGGTTGCCAGGCAAAACCCAGTCCAGTGGGGGCTGGGCTCTTTACATGGCACTGTCTGACCACTGCTTAGGGATGTGTGGGACCCAGGATGAGCTCTGTCTCTAGAGCAGTGCCTTACCACGGTTTCCAGGGAGCCCCCTATGTTAGTCTTGGGGCCACTGGGGTTGAGAGGCTCTCCCGTTGTAAGATTGCAGGGATTCATGCTGAGAATGTGGACCACTGGGTATCTCTCATTTACCTTGTCCCACAATGGGGAGTCTCTTCCAGCTCCCAGCTGATCTTGGCCAAACAGGCTTCCTCTCTTCCCTCTCCTTCCTTACTTTAGGTGTTTCCTGTCAGTTCTCTGTTGAATTCCAGTGTTCTCCCTTAGATGATCTATTTGAAGTGTGATTATCTGCTCACTATTTTGGTTTTTCTTAGCAGAAGAGGCGAGTAAGAGACGCCTCTACTCAGCCATCTTGAAGCCCCTCCACAATAAACTGAGAGAAAATGTCGATGGATAAAAACAAAGTACAAGATAATCTGTACGGTATACACAGGTTTGCCATTTACATAAATTTTTAAAGACACAATACTACATGTTTAGTTTAAAAGGAAAAGAAAGAAAAACAAACATGGAAACAACACCCACTCACTTCAAGACTTCTTTTTCTGTCAAGGGCTATTATCATCCTTGCTCTAAAGTTAAACAATAAACTAAATTTCTTCCACAGTTAGGTTAGCCTACATATAAGAGTGAGAAAAGACAGCTTGTGAGGTTAGAAGCAAGGTAGAGTCAGTTGTGTTAGATTTCTCATTGCTATAATTTTGCAAAGGCAGTTTAAAGGCTCCTATAACAACAACAACAAAAAGATTAACAAGAGAAAAGCATACAAATTTATTTAATATAAATTTTAGGTTACACAGGAGCCTGCAGAAATGAAGACCCAAAGATACAGGGAAGACTGTATTGTTGTGGAGAGCTGGGCTGCAGAAAGATGACTGGGAAACAGAAGGGTGTGATCCAATGGTAATAAAGTGGGGGAACTCAGCAAAACCTATTTGTCCAGATTCTTCTTGGTGTCTCTGTGTCTTCAGAGAGGAGGACATTTCTTTATTTTGTTTTGGGTATAGGGAGAGAAGCCCTTTATCTGAAATGAGGATTTTCTGACCTACTTTCAGAGGAAGGTCAGCTAGGTTTTATGGCCTGCTTCAGGGAAGAAGTGGAAAAGAAAGTGAGAGAGAGAGAGAGAGACCTTCCTGCTTTTGCTGTTTTCTGAAATGCCATGTGCCATTTTTCAGAATAGCATGTCCTGAAACTCATCAATCTCTTAACAATAAAAAGCTCCTTCTCCAGAAGCCCCTAGTAAACTTTTTCTGCTGTCTTACTAAACCAACCAGGCAAGGCGGGCGGTCTGACATCATGACTAGATGAAATCAGAGGTTCTCCGCATGGTTCCTAAACCAGCAACATCAACATCACCTGGGAACTTACTAAAAAACATTCTCAACTTCACCTCACACCTACTAGAGGGATGGTCCAGAAAAAAAAATAGGAGTGTGTGTGTGTGTGTGTGTGTGTGTGTGTGTGTGTAACAATCCCTTCAGATTATTCTAATGACATAAGAGTTTGAGAAGGACTGGGTTGAATAATCAGGACCTCCCTTACAGCTCAGATCAATTAGCCTCTCTTGAGGCACATGGGCTGCATGGAGGAGGGGTGGAAACATGAACTAAATTAACATGATTTTAAGAAAGAAGAAGGGAGCTGCCAGGTAAGCAGTTGAATGTGCATTTACATTCCTTGAGCATCGGCTGGGAGCAGTGGCTCATGCCTGTAATCCCAGAACTTCTTTTTTTTTTTTTTGAGACAGAGTTTCAATCTTGTTGCCCAGGCTGGAGTGTAATGGCATGATCTTGGCTCACCGCAACCTCCGTCTCCTGGGTTCAAGCGATTCTCCTGCCTCAGCCTCCCTAGTAGCGGGGATTACAGGCATGTGCCATCACACCCAGCTAATTTTTGTATTTTTAGTAGAGACGGGGTTTCTCCATGTTGATCAGGTTGGTCTCCAACTCCGACCTCAGGCGATCCACCTGCCTCGGCCTCCCAAAGTACTGGGATTATAGGCATGAGCAATCCCAGCACTTTGGCAGGCCGAGGCAGGTGGATCACTTGAGGTCAGGAGTGCGAGACTAGCCTGGCCAACATGGTGAAACCCCATCTCTGCTAAAAATACAAAAATTAGCTGGGCTTGGTGGCACATGCCTGTAATCCCAGCTACTCCGGAGGCTGAGGCAGGAGAATGGCTTGAACCCAGGAGGCGGAGGTTGCAGTGAGCTGAGATCGCGCCATTGCACTCCAGCCTGGACAACAAGAGCGAAACTCCATCTCAAAAAATAAAGGCCGAAAGGCATTATACACTTTTGAAAGGCCCTGAACAGGGTTAAGTTCCAAACCACCATTAGCACCCCCAAAATAGAGAGTTGACTGTAAAAAATAAGGCAAGGATGACAATTATTAGTGAATAACCACTTAGTACAAGGCAGATGCTAAAGTGATAAACACACCAATTAGGCTGTTTTAAAAACAATTCACTGGGAGGCCGAGGAGGGGTGGATCACCTGAGGTCAGGAGTTCAAGACCAGCCTGGCCAACATGGCACAACCCCGTCTCTACTAAAAATACAAAAATTAGCTGGGTGTGGTGGTGGGTACCTGCAATCCCAGCTACTTGGGAGGCTGAGGCAGGACAATCACTTGAACCCAGGAGGCGGAGGTTGTGGTGAGCTGAGATCGTGCTACTGCACTCCAGCCTGGGTGACAGATTCCACCTCCAAAAAAAAAAAAAAAAAATTCCTTAAGCACCTATTATAAACCAACCTTGGGTTAACCATTTTACATACATTATGTAACAACTCTACAAGGTAGGTAGTATTTTTATACATATAATACATGTAGAAATGGAAGCACAGAAGGTTTATGTAACTGGTTGAAGGTCACACAACTAACTAGTGATGGAGCCTGGATTCCCATCAAACAGTCTGACTCTGAAGATTACCTTCGAAACCACGCTACCACATGCATTTGTTTTGGTTTGTTTGTGTTTTCAACATTTCTCTACTTGCAAAATGGAAGACCAGCCCCTGGTCTATGATGAGCACCTGCTCTCCCACAAAGGAAGCCAACCACCTTAAGTAACATCAGCAGCTTGCCTCTCTCTCTCTCACTTTACAGAAAAGTAAACTGCAGCTAAAAGAATCTAAAATACTTCCCAAAGCCACTGAGTCAGTCAGCACCATGACCAGAACTTGAAATTTTATTCTCTTAGAGTAAGAAGATTTATTATATCTGGCTAAGGTACAACTGTCTTACCATCTAGGGAAGTGTACTTTCTTTTTGTATTCATTTAATTTGCTTTTAACCTAGAGTTTTCAACAATTGAGATGCTAGCAGCTTCTTGAGTAGAGTAGAAGAAGTTGAGGAGAAAAGATCTTAAACGAGCAGCTTTTATTTGGAGAGAAAAGATCCCCAACTTTCTTCATAAGTTCTCTAAAAAAAAATGCTGTCTGTGCTGAGGTAGCAGCTGTTCTATTATCATATTTGACTCCATAGGGACTAACTTTGGGCTCCTTTTTTAAAATTGGAAATCAATATCAAATCAGGTGATGGAGAAAGCCAATGAAGTTCTTTTGTTCATATTCCCTTGCTGTGGGGCACAAACACTGTTCTCTTCGCTAGTATTGATCTGATAGCAGACAACTCTGTGTGTTTCTGCTTTGGGCAACCAAGATCCTTCAAGCACTCTTAGCCTGGCATAGGCTGGTCTTCCTTTGGACTAGAAAAAGAAAATCTATATATCTCTTTCTAAAACTTTTACTTGGAACAGTATTCAAAAGACTTGTACTGCTTTGGTCAAATTGAAAGACTCAGTGTAAGACATCCACTCTATTTTCTCTAAGTTGCTGCCTATAAATTCCCAAGTTGACCAAGGAGTGGAAAAGAGTCAGGACAATCAATCAGCTGAAGAAAAGGCCAGCTGAATGACCACTGCTCCAATTATCACTGCAAGAGTTTGGTTTTTCCTACTCTCACGTGCTCACTCAGTGCAGCACAGAAGGTGTATTAGTATGTTCTCACATTGCTATGAAAAAATACTACCTGAGACTGGGTAATTAACAAGGAAAGAAGTTTAATCGACTCACAGCTCCGCAGGCTTGACAGGAAGCATGGATGGCTAGGAGGCCTCAGGAAACACAATCACGGCAGAAGGCAAAGGGGAAGCAGGCACCTTCTTCACAAGGTGAGAGAAGGGAGTGTGAGAGTGCAGGGAAAAAAAACTTTCACTTTTAAAACTATCAGAACTCATGAGAATTTACTCACTATCCCAAGAACAGCATGGGGGAACCGCCCCCATGATCTAATCACCTCCCTCCCTCAACACATGGGGATTACAATTGGAGATGAGATTTGGGTGGGGACACAGAACCAAACCATATCAGAAGGCTTCTGTGACCAGGCATGTGTTGGGTTTACCACATACCAAGCAATTCTCCAGCAGACACCAACTGGGTATCCTATAACTTCATTCAATTCTTCTGCTATCTACCTGGGGATAGCATCAGACTCTGCAGGCTAAGGTCACAGTCCCACAAGACTGCCTCCCACTTCAGATGCCAATGGCAAGCCCCAGGTTGTGATCTGTGCTTCTGACTGACCAGCTAAAAACCTGGGTTCCCATATCCCCCTCCTCATGTTCAATTAATTTGCTAGAGAGGCTTACAGAACTCGAGGAAACACTTTACTTGTGTTACCCATGTATTATAAAGGATATTACAATGGATACAGATGAACAGCCAGACGGAAGAGATGCACAGGAAAAGGTATGAGGAAAGGGGCACGGAGCTTCCATGCCTCCCTGGGCACAGCCCCCACCAGACACCTCCAAGTGTTCAGCAACCCGAAAGCTCCCTGAACCCTGTCCTTTGGGTTTTATGGAGGCTTCATTACACAGGTATGGTTGATTATATCATTGGCCATTGAGGCTTGCCCCTTTCTTCTCCCACGGGGTGGAGAGGGCTGGGTTGAAACTTCCAACCCCCTACTCATGCTGTGTCTTTCTGGTGACCTGACCCATCCCAAAGCTATCTGGAGGACCCCAGCCACCAGTCATCTCATTAGTGTACAAAAGATGCTCATCACTGCAGAAATTTCAAGGGTTTTAGAAGCTGTGTGCCAGGAACCAGGAGCAGAGACCAAATAAATATGTATTTCTTTTTTTTTTTTTTTTTTTTTTGAGATGGAGTCTAGCTCTGTTGCCAGGCTGGAGTGCAGTGGCACAATCTCGGCTCACTGCAACCTCTGCCTCCCAGGTTCAAGCCGTTCTCCTGTGTCAGCCTCCCAAGTAGCTGGGACTACAGGCACACACCACCACGCCCGACTAATTTTTTGTACTTTTAGTAGAGACAAGGTTTCACCATGTTGGCCAGGATGGTCTCAATCTCCCAACCTCATGATCCACCTGCCTTGGCCTCCCAAAGTGCTAGGATTACAGGCATGTGCCACTGCGCCCGGCCATGTATTTCTTATTATATCACAATACCACAATCACCCTCTGCAATTTGGGTAGCTAATTTACCATTGGACCATTTTCTAGGTTTATGACATCTTTTCACCCTCTTGAGGTGAATTAAATGATCAGTTCCAGTTCTTTACCCCTTCTTTGCCATGACCTCATCATGAGCAGAATGTATTTCCTGCCCTTAATGTTGGGCTCTACAATGTGGCTTGTTTTCTTCAGTGGCAGGAGAAAAGAACCAACAGTCCAAAGCCTAAACTTGAATATTTCTGTTTGCCTTCTTGCTCTGTTGTATCACCATGAGAAGAACTTGCCCCGCTCGATGGCTACACCAGGGAGAATGAGAGATATGTGGAGCTGATTTAGCCTAGACCTACAGAAGCAGAGCCACCCCAGTTGCTGCAACTAGAAGCATAGATACCCGGCTGAGCCCAGCCCAGATGAGCCAACAGATGCCCAACCTACACATCCATCAGCTAATTAGATGCTTACTGATGTATACTGGTGAGATCTCATGCAGCATTGTTCTAACAGTAGTTAACCAAAACACTCTTTCTTTTAAAAGAAAATTAGATAATTCAGTGCATAAGATGAGCCTATAGAAAATACAATTGCTTTTGAAACAAATGCACAGAATATGGTTAAATCCATGAATTTGTCCCCATTAAAGCCTATACATTTACTCTTTTGATACTGCCTTCTTCCAAAATAGTTTTGAGAAATGCTTTTAAGCTTCGTTTTCTAAATGTATAGCACCAATTTTGTATTATCCTCAGTAATAAAAAATCTTCATACTTTGAAAAATCCTTGATTTTTTAAAAAAACTAAAAACACTAGGAGGTATTTGGTTTTCTTAAGGATCAACTGGAATTATTTTCATTTTTATTCAGTAGAAATAATATATAGTTCAGGCTAGGTGTCGTGGCTCACACCTGTAATCCCAGCACTTTGGGAGGCTGAGGCCGGCAGACCGCTTGAGGCCAGGAGTTCAAGACCAGCCTGGCCAACATGGCAAAACCTCATCTCTACAGAAATACGAAAAATTAGCCAGGTGTGGTGGCATGTACCTGTAATCCCAGCTACTTGGGAGGCTGAGGTACGAAAATCCCTTGAACCCAGGAGGTAGAAGTTGCAGTGAGCTAAGATAGTGCCACTGTACTCCAGCCTGGGTGACAGAGTGATACTGTCAAAAAAAAAAAAAAAGAAAGAAAGAAATATATAGTTCAGAAAGTTTTAAAAATTAAAATAAAATGTTTCAAACTCACAACTATAACTCAATTGCTTTAGCATATTCAATTTTTTTCTTTAATGCATATGTTTTACTAAGATTCTCAAAAATTTTTTCCCTTAAATGGATAGGTTCCTTATCACACTTTTGCAAATTGAAACTTAATTGGAAAATAAATGTTTGGTATCAATTTGAATCATTTTTAAAACACCCCTGGCCATGTGCTTTTTGTGTATATTTTATTTGATTTAGGCCAATTACAGTATCCAGAATGTGTGCCAATCAAATTGTCATTCAAGTATCTCTATGCTCCCTCTTGAGAAAAAAAAAAAAAAAAAGAAATGCTTTATCTGAGGAATGTGAGACCCCTCTGAAATGATCAGGCCCAGGGAGGAATTGAAATGTGACTTCAGGCACATCTCACTTCCCCCTAAGTAATCACCTTCTGAAGCTACTTGCTATGTGGGCTCTAGACAGACTGACACCAAGTAGTCATAAATTAACCCAACAATGCCATCCACTGGACACCATAACTCATACCCTACAGTTCAACAATGTATAGCCAATCACTAGTCAGTGTTATTTCTGTAAACCAATGGGAATGCCTGTCAAACAACTTTGTCTCTACCCATCCTTGCTCCCTTTTGCCTTTAAAACCCTGCTTGTAACAAAAGCCGAATGGAGCATGTCCCAAGGCAACTTGGAAGTATTTCCCAGGCGGCTGTCCTCATTCTGACTCAAGTAAAGTATTTAATATTTTGTGCCTCAGCCTCTTCCTTTAGGTCAACACTTTGAAATAAATTCCAGAGTCAGAGAAAATGGCAGAAAAATTTTTGAATTAGGAGAATTGGAATTTGCAAATATCATCCAGGCCGGGCACGGTGGCTCATGCCTGTAATCCTGGCAGTTTGGGAGGCCGAGGCAGGTGGATCATGAGGTCAGGAGTTCGAGACCAGCCTGACCAACATGGTGAAACCCCATCTCTACTAAAAATACAAAAAAAAATTAGCCAGGGGTGGTGGCACGCACCTGTAATCCCAGCTACTCAGGAGGCTGAGGCAGGAGAATCACTTGAACCCAGAGACGAAGGTTGCGGTGAGCCAAGATCGCACCACCGCAACCCAGCCTGGACAACAGAGCAAGAGTCTCAAAAAAAAAGAAAGAAAGAAATGTATCATCCAGAAGTGTAAAAGCCAAGAGCCTCAATGGGTGGCTCTGCTAGATCTCGAGACACAAAGGGATGGTGTGTGTCTGACGAGACTTTGAGGGAGAGGATTCTCTCCTTTAAGCCAATTCTACATGATTATTCCATGAAAGCTACACTAAGCTCTGAAGAGTGTGCGTGGACATGGAGCTTTTACCCCTCCTGCCTGACTCTGAAGCTTTGGTCTAGCAAAAGCATCACATTCCTTCAATGCAACAATATTCCACTCGTGCAAACTTTTGATGACAGTGAAAATTTAGAACTTGGATGGGGTCTAAGATCTGCCACAGCCACATATTTAGTGTCCCTCAGATTTGGTGTCTTCCAGACCATGGCCGTATTTCTATGCAGATAGTCTCCAATTCTTTAGCTCTAATTCCAAGGAGTGATACTAATGCCTAAAGAGGGGTCATAATTAACAAAAACAACAAGTTATATTTCACAAAATTACTTCATTTAACACCCAGTTTAACAGCTACTAATGGAAATATGCTTGTGATAAGCCTTTGTAATGAATATTTTCTAAATCAATTTCTTTAAAACTTTATTCTAATTTTGCATATCGTTATAATTATGGTACGCCTACACACTAATTTCCTTTCTTTAAATATTTGATCATAAGCATAAAACTACATATATTTAATGACTGTATAATATTCCAGAATTAAAGACATCACATTTATTTAGACATTCTCTTACAAGCAGATATTTAGTTTTTGGCTTTTTAAAATAAATAATGCTAAAAGAAACATGTCTGTGTATATGAGTTTTCCCTTTCATATTAGTTACTTGTGAAAGATTGCTAGCTGCAGGACTATTAGATCAACACTCACGAACATTTCTGTGACACTTTCTACATAGTGAGATATTGTTTTCCAGAAGCTTAGATCATTTTCATTGGAGTAAAGAATACCAATTTCACCATAATTTTGTAAATATTTGATATTATCAATTATAAATAATTTTTATTGATACAATAGACAAGTAAAGTATCTCCCTATATTTTTAAAACTAGCATTTATCTAATTACAAGCCAAATTGAATATTTTTGCATGTTTATTTACTAGTTTTATATTACATTTGTTTGCTAGTCACCTTTTCATGGTTTTTTTGGCGGGGGTGGTGGGCTGGTTTTATATATAGTGAAGAAATGATATCAGCTAAGGAATCAGTGATTTGCTAAGGGGAAGAAAAAGACCTTGAAAAATAAAGAGGAGATTTTAAAGAATTGTCCATACAGATAAATACATTGAAGAGATTCTCACCTCCAAAATGTCCTTTGAAAAATTCAGGTTGAGGTATTAGGGCGAAATTGTGTTAAATGCATAGAATATGCTAGACAGAATTGACAAGCTAGAAAGAAACAATGTATACGAAGTAGATAACAGCAGCACAAGAGTGTTTTAAGCCACTCAAAAGTGAAAGTGGAGCTAGTGGGCAAAGTGTAAAAGCCATTGTTGAACTAGGTATCTGCAGCAATAACCTGCCTGTGGGACTCAGAGCATCCAATGCTCGGGAGAGGCTAAACCTTACAAAGTTAAGCTCACATTCACATTTGGGAACACCAGTATTGAGGGGTGTCCTTGGACCCAAACAGGTATAACCTTTATTGAGAACAATGACAAGGATCCTTTGGGGCCATATAGTGTCATATTCATGCTAAAGGCATGAAGATTTGGTTTTGATCTCTATGTCCTACTAGTTGTGTGATCTTAAAAAATTGACTTCCTCTCTCTAACCCTCAATTCCATGAATGGAACATGAACAGACTGTAGGAGAAAAATAATGACCCCCATGAGTTCTTAGTTTGAATGGACCCATAATACCAAAGACAGATCAGCAAGATGAAAACCAATTAACTGGTATATTTCATATAGACATAGGAGAAACCAGAAAATGAGTAGTTCTCAAAGAGGTGTTGGTTTTGAATTCCAACTTATATAGCATCTTCAGCAAAGAACAGTAAAGTTTTAGAGAAGGGACAAGACAAAGGAAAAGGACTTTGAGTCTCTAGGGGCAACAACTTGGGGGAAGGCAAATAACAGGCAGATAAATGTTAGTTAATAAAGCTTGTTGAAATAGATTATTCTGGTGCCATCTTTAGGCTGATGAGGGGCTAAAGCTGTCTTCAGTGGTTAAGCTTTGTTCTTCCTGGTAGAGAGGAAGGCAAAATACCTTTTGTCTTTGTAAATCTAAGTCCTGCTTCTAGGCAAGTAAAGGGAAACAGAAGGCATTCCTGCATCTGCTTCTTCTTGTCTTCGGTGCAACTATTCTTCATATTTTGAAGTGACATATTCTGGTCTTCCACAGGCTCACTATGCTAAGCCCATAAGACTTTGAGAATTCAATGAGACAACATGCTTAGCCTTGTGCCCAACCTGGATTTAGCCCTCAGTAGATCTTAGCAATTATTATTTGTCTATAAAAGAAATTCACACAAGAATGACATTTTAGAGTCCTTTAAAGGACTAAATAAGACTAAGAACAGGGAGTTACTAACAGTCACATTTGCCAGGTGTGACCTTGTACTTTTGATCTTGCTAACCCACCTGTCATATCACCCAACTAGCACCCAACAGAGCACATCCATGGCAATTCGATGGTGACTCTCAACCTGTTTTGAACTTCACAACAATGAGTTATAATTTCTCATTAATACATTAATGTAAGTTTAACAATAATATACTTACTACTAGTTATTTTTAAAATCTTGATTACCTGCTAATTCCTTTCGTGCCAGACCTATATACTGCAATCACACTCTAAGATGGATATTTTCATTCCACTGCAGATGAATATAGGATTCTCTTTAACAGCCAGGCCTCTCATGGAGGGGACTGCCTTGTTTAAGGCCACTTCCATAAAAGATGAATAGGATACACCCTTTTCCTCTTTTCATCTTCCTCGTCTCCTCCTTTCTGCTGCTTGAAGCATGGGGTGATGGCTGGGACTCCATTTGCAGTGATGAAGTCAGGAGCTGCACCCTAGAGATGGTGGAAGAAAAGCTGGGAGCATCCTAAATCCCAGACAGCTACAGCCACCATGCAAGCCCTGGACTGCCCACCACTAGACTTTGCTGGGGAGAGAATAAAACTCCCTATCAAGCTAATATTATTGAGTCTCTGTTAATCACAATCAGTCCTACTCCTGACTGGTGGGAGAGGGCACAAACTTTACCCAGAAGCCAGTCTCAGTTAAGGTCAAAGAAGATGACCTCAGATGATATCTGGGTCACACCTATTTTAAAGATGAAGAAACAGAGGATCAAAGAGGTTAAGTGACCTGCCCGAGCTAGGTAAGTGGCCGAACTGGAATTTCAGCCAAGGTCTACCTGACTAAATTTCTGCATTTTTTTTTATCACCCCTAATTCTAATTTATCTCTTCCTTCTCCCATCTTTCCTGATTTCTGCCTCTCCCTTGGAGCTGACATTAACACTGCTTTTCAGATATTAAACTTGGCTCCCTTCTCAGTTACAGTCTGCAGTTTCACTCTTCCCTTCCTCTAATTGTGGTCAGCCTCTAGACCCCTGAGAACACTGTCCCCTCCCCAGTCCAGTCAAGACTAGCTCCCTTGGCTCTATTCCAGGGTACATGCATACGACCAGCATTCCTGCTGGATTTCCCCAGTAACAGGGAATTAGACATTAATTCGGCTACACTTTCCATAAGACTTATTAAAAGTTAGGCACAAGTGCATTTTTGCCTTTAAGTTGAATCATAGTGAGATTGAAGAGAATTTCTAAATATAGGAGGATAACACATTCAAATCAGTTATTAAAGGAAGCTAGAGGTGTGTAGGGTATGTCCTTCAACCTCCTGAGATTGATATCAGGGGAAAACATGCTCTTTAAAAAAAAAATTCTAGAATGCCACTGTGAGAGAGAAAATGCTAAGTGGCTTGACCATTTTGGCATTTCTTTGGTTCAAGTTTAATAAATTCCTTCTTAAAATATTGTTTTCCTATTATGAAAGTAGTTCATGTTAATTTAGAATAATTATAAAATAAAGAATTCTAACTCAATAAGAATCACTGTTAATATTTTGGTATTCTCTACTTGCAGTCTCTTTGCTTCATAAATTTTTTATACCCTTGTGATCATGATATATAAAATACTTACATAGAGTGATTATTCACAGCAACTATTTTATTTTTGAAGCTATGAATACAGATTGTAAAATATATGGAAAATAGAAAGAAGTATGAAAAAATAAAATCATCCAGAATTTCAATGCCCAGAGAAAATTAATAATAAACATTTCAGTTTTTGTCCCAGGAGCCTTCTTGCTATATATTTTTACATGATTGAGATCAAACTGTAGAGCCTAAATCTTAAGTAAATTCAATACAGAAACACCCAGGGTATATATAGAAGATGTTGCAAAGAGTCTTTCCCTTAGATACCTGGTATCTACGATCATTAATATGAATTTTAAAGAAGCAGAAAATCATAGCTAAAGTTCTCTGGCAAAGAAAATGCCTAATATATTGCTCTTTACAACTCTGATTTTATGGAAGGAAAAAATACTATTTGTTTAGCAATTTTTCTAGCACGCTATCCCCAGTATGTAAATAGTTTTGTCATTCTTGGTGAGTATAGCAGAATAACAACAATTATTGTTTCAAGTGGTCTTCAAACCTGGCAACAGCATCCTTCTAAATTATGGTGGGAAGAATGTGGCCCCCAAAAATACATTTCTTGGTACTGGGAAAAGGGCAAAAACAAGAAGGGAAGAGCTGAGAGACCCACTTTCTTCCTTGTCACATCAGCCATGTGGCTTTTCTTCACACCTTTTCTCTTCATCCTGTCTACTAATAGATCTGCTGTCTCCATGCACAGAGGACATAGCCTCTTGCTTCATCTGTGTTTCTGCTTTCCTCTTTTCTGCTTCCATGGTTTTCTTGGAATGGCATCTCCTGAAGAAAGGAAGACAGAAGGAGGAGGCAGTGGCTCCCATGGTGGACCTACACAGAGGTACAGTTGAAACCCTGACACAAGAGTCTTCCGAGTTCCAGAGCTCTGGAATTACATTTGTGATTAAATGAATCCCAAAGAAAGCCCCAGGATTACTGCATGCCCTGTAGAGTCAGCCCATTATAATCATAATGCATATAAAGTCCCTATACTACAGCTTCAGAGCAGTCTTGTGTTTAAAGAAGCAGAGCCCAGGAGTTTTTAATCTTCCTTCTGGTCTCTTTCAAATATTAAAGAGTATCCACAGCAGCTCATTAAAACTCCCAGGACTGCCTCTTTCTATTTCCCCATAAGATCCCTTTGTCTCTCTTTCATTTATACCTCCCATCCCTACCAGCCTGGTGCCTCAATGGTCTCTTTCTTCCTAGGCCTCTAGGAACAAGCTGTTGACACTCTTGTCTGCCACTTGACCTCAGAGAAATTGATGTTCTTCTAGGCTTCTGGCTTGTTTTCTCCTGAGAAGCCCCCTAGTGTGTCTGGTTTTCTCTTGGAAAGAGGAAGGGGTGGGAAGCTAAGAGAACAAAGGGCAGGTGAAAGAAAAATGTGGTTTCCATCCCATCATACAGTATGAAAGTGGTCTTGGAAAAATGAGATGTTGATGGTGTATGGGGAGGAAACTCATGAGATCAGAGCACAAAGCATCACTACTCAAGGAACACTGTGGAGTGCAAAGCATTCTTGTGAGGCTTGTCCATCCTTCTCAAGTTCCAAAACTCTTGCACACAAGTCTGGATTGGGGACACTGGGAAACAAGTCTAGATTGGGGGACATTGGTAGGCAAGCCTGTGTAGGAGCTGGCATGAAGAAAAAAGGTAAGAGCAACTCATTCCATTCCTGTCCACCAGTATTTGACTTACGCGTTTATCTTTAATTATATTTCTTTGATTTCTCTTATCAGAATCTGACATTGGGGGACATTCATGTGCAAAGTTCACACAGAGAGTAACAAAAGCATATATCACACTGGAGATGTAGCACTAACAACCTCCACCAACCCTGCACACCTCCACCTCTTCTTCAGCTACCTCCAGCTGCCACCAATGACACCACCTGCACCACTAACAGTGTGCACATTACTAGTTTTTGTTGTTGTTTTTTTTGTTTTGTTTTGTTTTGAGACGGAGTCTCGCTCTATCACCCAGGCTGGCAATGGCAACGTCTCGGCTTGCTGCAACCTCTGCCTCCCTGGTTCAAGCCATTCTCCTGCCCTCAGGCTCCCAAGTAGCTGGGACTACAGTCATGCACCACCACACCCAGCTAATTTTTGTATTTTTAATAGAGGTGGGGTTTCACCATGTTGGCCAGACTGGTCTCGAACTCCTGACCTCAAGTGATCCGTCCGCCTCGGCCTCCCAAAGTGCTGGGATTACAGGCGTGAGCCACCACACCAAACCTAGATTTTTCTTTTCTCAAAGATAATTTTTTTTTAACTGAGTCTTGCTGTGTCGCCACACTGGTGTGCATTGGCGTGATCTCGGCTCACTGCAACGTCCACCTCCCAGGTTCAAGCGATTCTCCTGCCTCAGCCTCCCTAGTAGCCAGGACTACAGGCACGTACCATGCCCGGCTAATTTTTGTATTTTTAATAGAGACGGGGTTTCACCATGTTGGCCAGGATGATCTTGATCTCTTGACCTTGTGATCCGCCTGCCTGGGCCTCCCAAAGTGCTAGGATTACAGGCATGAGCCACTGCACTCAGCCTAAAGTTAATTTTTTAATATGAAATATATAGAGAATAAAAGTACCAGTGAAAACAGATTATTGTTAACATACTGTTATGCATTTTAGTCTTTTTATGGTTTTATTTATGTTGAGTCAGTGAGACAATTCGCATGATTCAGATTATAAAAAGTATGAAAGGACTTAGAGTGAAATTCTCCCCCTTCACTGCTGTTGCCCCAACATCCAGCTCTCTGCCCCCAGAGCCTACCATGTTTCAAATATTTTTAAAATGAAAGAAATTAAACACTGTAGATACAGTTAATGTCTCCTTTTCCTCATTCTTTTTCCATGCTCCCTAGAGGCAGCCATTATCATAAATTTGATGAATCTTTCCAATGTCTTTTTATAGTTTTTGCATACATATGCATGTACTTGTGAACAGTAGAGAGTATTGCACTGTGTGCTCTTTTTTTTTGTAATTTACATCAATGGTATCATACGTTTTAGCACTACCCTATGCTGCCAGCTCATTCTTTTTAACTGCTGTATGATATTCTGTTGTATGACTATATTATATTTTATTCATCCATTTTCCTATTGATAGGAAGTTCTTTCCTATTTTCCAATAGTATAAACAATGCTACCACTTTGCTGTTTTCTAAATTAGAATAACTGTTAGGTCCATTTCTCCTCAGATGAATTGATAAATCCCAAATAACCTAATCAAAGCTTAATAGGATATTTTATAAAAATTGATAAGCTAATTCTGAAGTTCATCTGGAGGCAAAAACAAACAAAATTGGCAAATATTTCTTGGGAAAAAAAAGTGGGGAAATTTGCCCTGTAGTTTTATAATCTGCTTTTTTTCACTTCGTGTATTATTCACAGGAGAGGAGCAGTTGGAGCTTCTAAGGAGGAGGAGCGGCTCTTTTCCCCTGGAGGTTGTTTTGTCTAAACACGATGCTAGAAATGCAGCAGCCATCTTGCTACCAGCCTGACGATAATGCCAACATATCAAGGTCCAAACAAGAAGCACCAAGAAACTGAGATGGACTTTGAAATTCCATATCTGGAACGAGTTCTACTTCTGTATTTGTTGTTTAGGTAATAAATGTTGTTATCACCTAATTACCTAATTTAAAGGGATAAGGAGGAAGGAAGGATTATCTTATTTAAAGCAAAAAGCATGCTGACTGATATGTTTTATAATAATGTCGGATTTCATCAATCCTGGACTGTTGGATTTTTAAGCAATTTCCAATTTTCTTTTATTTCCTTCAAACAAAATGCTCCATGGAATATCCTTGTTACTCAGTCTCTGTGCAAATCTATGATTATTTTAATAGTATAGATTCCTAAATAATTCCTACTTAAGTGGAATTACTCAACTCAGAATATGGGGAAAAAACAGATTTGTCTCATAAAATACAACATAACAAATTCTAATTCAGTAGAGGAAAATATGGAAATTCTAAATAATCTCTGAGTTCTAACCCCAGGCTCATTGTATCCTGTTTTACCATCTTGGGAAGGTCAGAACGTCTTTTTGCCCTTTCAGATCTCAAGGCCTCTATTATATTTGCTGCCTGTAGAATAACAGTAACAACAATAGTAATAACAATAGTTAAGATGTTTAAGCATCTTTTCTGTGCAACGAAGTATTCATACATTATCTCATTTAATCTTTATAACAATCCTTTTGAGGAGATACAGTTACTAGTCCCACTTTACAAATGAGGAAATGAGACTCAGAATGAGTTAGTGACTCGTCCAGAATCCAGCTGCTACATGAAAGGGCTGAGATTCCAACCTGGGTCTCTTACTGCTCATAATCCTGTTTCTCAAATCTCTCCCAGGGTCTTTGCTGAGAGCTTCACTTCCAGATCTTTCCATCCAGTTTCCTACCTCTGTTATGTGGTCTTTTAGTCGACATTAAAAGAACATTCAAAGAAGAAAGAAGGCAAGTCAACAGACATTTTCCCAGCAGGGTAACCTGCTCCGTAAGTTACTCTGCAGATGTGAAGCCTCACCTGAAGTGAAGCCTTGGTCTTCGTGGATTTGGACAAGAGAAAACATTTTTCAGGAATTTGCTTATGTTATCACTGTCGTGATCCTTCCTTCTCTCTCAGAACTAAGTCAAAATCCTCAGCAAGTGCTACCAAAGGTCACACACAAAAATCTTCTGTAACAGACACTGTTGTCTTCCTAGCCTCTATTCCTCCCTTCCTCCTTCCGCAGAGCCCCTTAGCTTAAAAATTCTCCCACTTTTTCTTTCAATGGAGTTGAATTCAATCTCTCTACCCTACTGCAGTGTCTCTTTGGCACTCTCAGCATTTTTCCTAGAACTGCTAATACAAAGATAATATCTCACTAGATGTGAACGAGGAAGCGTAGCATCCTGGTGGCCACTAACAGATACCCTGGGATCCAGAGGGAAGCCAGCCTTAGGATGAAACTGGCATCACAATGCATGGAAGATAGAGAGAAAACATCAACAACAAAAAAAGCCTGATTTATTCACTGATGCACTGGATCAAGTCTTACCCCAAACACACTCTCCCTCCCACTTTTCAGATACATGAGCTAATACATTCCCTCTATTGTGTAGGCAAATCTGGTCAGGTTTTTGTTCATTGCAACCAAAAGTGTCCAAGCTGGTCCTTTTTCTCTCTGGCGCCTTCTAGCACAAAACTTGGATCACAGCCTCCCAATACATGCAATGCTAACATTTATGTAGCACCTAACGTATGCCACACACTATCCTAAGCACTTTATTTGTATTTTGGCTCATTTAACCCTGACAACAGCCCTATGAGCTAGTTTTGGAGGGATTTTTAAGCCCATTTTTTACATGAGGAAAATAAGGTACCAAAAAAGGTTAAATAACTTTGCCAGAGCTAACAGGTGGTTGAGCCAGGATTTAAACCCAGTCAGATCTTTTTGCTCCAGAACTCTTGCTCTTAACCAGTTGGCTAGCAGCTCTCAAGTGCTGTCCCGGGCTCCCCTGCTGTGGGAGTCCAAGAGCATGCATATTGGACTGGGGGAGTTGGGAGTGGGGTGTGGGTGGGGAAGATGCAAATGTTGATTTTCCACTTATATTTTAGGGAACCCGAAAGTACACAGGTCAGTTTTCATTATCCCAAAATCGAAACTGAGACTTTGACTGTGTCGCTCCCCCTACTCACTGATGAAACTTCTTCTGCCAGGTTATTTCTCAGCTGCTGACAGTTGCTGTCTACAGCTGGGTCAATATTTTCATGTCTACTCATAATCCTGTGTGTCAAGATCCCTGAAAAACAAATGCCAAGATTTTTTCTTCATGTTTTAGCCTCTGCTTTGATTTTAGACACCAAATCTAAAGTCTACCTCTCAGGTATTATATGTGCAGAATTCAAGAGGTATAAATTCATGTAGGATTTATTCACTTAAACATATGTGAGGTCTAAACCTTGGTGCCTTTTTTACCTTTGTTCTTTAATTTTTTTTAAGCAATGGGGTCTTGCTATATTGCCTAGGGTGGTCTCAAATTCCTGGGCTCAAGCGATCCCTCCACCTTGGCCTCCCAAAGTGCTGGAATTACAGGCATGAGCCACCACACTCAACCCTATTGTGTTTTGAAGCAAAGCTGTCTGTGCAGATTCTTCATTTTTGCTAAGGTGGCTGCAGAAGCTTCAATCAATGATAGTTGGACTTCAAACTCTGCCTTTATTTTCATGCCAAATTCTCTTAAAATTGTCATTAAAAAAGAATTAAACGCAGAGTGCTGCAAAAATTCTCCTTGCCCTCAGGAGCTTGTGATGTTTTAGATTAATCATAATCTGTTTACCATAACTGAACAGGTACCATTTTCTTTATTACTTCATCTCCCCCCTCTTTGGTTGTTTGTTCACTTGCTATTTAATTTCTATTTATTAGTTCAACCATGAAAAGGGCCTAATAAGCAAAAGAAGAAAAAAAAAAAAGCAGGCAGTACTTTCAAGTTCAAAAGACTAGCTGATGGGAGATCACAGTTCATCACAACTGCAAGTCTGAGATGGAATGTTTAAATATGTACATTTCAAAGTGAACCAGAAACCTTTCCCTGAGAGCCAGTCGAGGTGAAAGGAAGTTTTCAATATTCTTGCCCTATGCAAATGATTCTCAGAGTGGTCTGTGGGATGAATCTAAGTCCTTCCTTGCAACCAGATCTTTGATGGAGATACCTGAGTCGCCCTTCTAACAATTTAGGATTAACCTTGTTTTTCTGAACAACGTAATTGGGTTCAGATATTATCTCATCTTGTTTCCAAGGCCGCTAGCCAAGAGCAGAACCAAACATGTCATTTCTGGAAGGCAGAAGAAAGGCACTGACCTGCAAAAATCTATAATTTGGCCACAAGTACGTAGTGTAATCCTTTTTTTGTTTGTTTGTTTAATAATAGATGGCTGTGATGGCTAATTTTATGAATCAACTTAATTGAGCTAAGAAATGCCCAGACAGCTGGTAAAACATTATTTCTGGGTGTGTCTGTGAGAGTGTTCCCAGAAGAGATTAACATTTGAATCAGTAACTGAGTGAAGAAAGGCTCCCTCACTAATTCAGGTGGGCATTATTCAATCCATTCAGGGCCTGGATAGAACAAAAAAAGCAGAGGAAAGGCGAACTTACTCTCCGCTGGAGCCAGGACATCCATCTCCTCCTGTCCTCAGACACTGGTACTCCCTATTGTTAGGCCTTCTGGCTCAGATGGAGATTGTCGCCATTGGCTCCCCTGGGTCTCTGGCCTTCAGGTTTGGGCTGGATCTCCACCTGGGCTGGCTTTCCTGCTATATTAGTATGTTTTCACACTGCTGATAAAGACATACCTGAGACTGGGAAGAAAAAGAGGTTTAATTGGACTTACAGTTCCACATGGCAGGGGAGGCCTCAGAATCATGGCAGGAGGCGAAAGGCACTTCTAACATGGCGGTGGCAAGAGAAAAATGAGGAAGAAGCAAAAACGGAAACACCTGGTAAACCCATCAGATCTCGTTAGACCTTTCACTATCAAGAGAATAGCACAGGAAAGACCAGCCCCCATGAATCAATTACCTCCCCCTGTGTCCCTCCCACAGCTTGTGGGAATTCTGGGAGATACAATTCAAGTTAAGATTTGGATGGGGACACAGCCAAACAATATCACCTGCTGTTGCAGACAACTGATTGTGGAACTTCTCAGCCACCATATCTGCATGTGCCAATCCCTCATAGTGAGAGAGGAGAAAGGAAAAAAACCCATCAGGCAGGCAGGGTGGGTCCTCGGTTGAATCCTTTCAAACCAAAGAACAGCCTGCAGGCACAGATAAGGGAAATTGCACAGAGGGGCTTGCCGAAGACATGCCCACAGCTGCACAGATAAGAAAGGCTACACAGGTGACTTGCAAAGACATGCCCACAATGGAAAATTTCATCCCCTGACACATTTGCTGTAAGGGAAACAAAGCAATAGGGAGGAACTCAAGCTAAAGGCCCACATGCACACTAGAAGGATGGGGTGGAGCTACCAGAATGGTACGCCTTATGCAAATGAGATGCCCAGCCCTCAAAGGTTTCTTATAGAAGCTTTGCATTCAACTGTAAAAATGGCGGCTCTCTTCTGGGTCCCCTCTCCACAGCAAAGAGCGTTCTTCTTTCGATTATTAAACTTTCACTACAACCTCACCCTTGGTGTCTGTGCTCCTTAACTTCCTTGGTCATGAGACAAAGGACTCCAGGTACTACCTCAGGCAATGAGACTGCTACATTGTGGTGCATTGGTGAGGCTGTAACAATAGCAAATCTCTTTCTATATATCTATGTATAGCCTATTGGTTCCTCTGCAAACTGTTTTATCAGCAAGGTCTTTAGGACCTGTAACTTGTGTCGACCTTCTATCTCATCCTGTGACTAAGAATGCCTTAACTTAACTGGGAATTCAGCTGAGCAGGTCTTAGCCTTATTTTACCCAGCCCCTATTCAAGATGGAGTTGCTCTTGTTTAAACACCTCTGACATTTCCCCCCTCCCTTTTATAAGAGAATCCTTAATCCTAACGCTTGTAGAGCGATGAAGAACCATCTTCTGCAACTTCTTCAGGCTGAATAAGGGGCGATGATATGCCTGCCTATTAGGTCTCTTGCATTCAGGGTAGAGCGGAGCTCAGTCAGAAAGTGTTGGTATGGCAAGGGCCATTAATAACTCTGAGTTCTGACAAAAGGTGATATCCAAAGTCAGCCAATCAGTGATGCAGTTATTTCCTTTGGGTCGGGGGTTTCCTCAGTTGTCCTCCTTTTCATGGTTTGCCAGAAAGATGTTACTGGAAAGCGGTCCCGATCCAGACCCCAAGAGAGAGTTTTTAGATCTTGCACAAGCAATAATTCGAGGCAAGTCCATAGAATAAAGTGAAAGCAGTTTATTAAGAAAGTAAAGGAATAAAAGAATGGTTACTCCACAGGCAGTGCAGCCTAAATGCTAAGTTCTAAACAAGATATTTTCACCCTCATTATCTCATTTGAAATAGAACTTGAAAAACGAAAGCTTCTGAATTGGTAGTCATCCCATTTTAAAGAGGAAGGAGCTGAAGAAACTTAAGTTCTATTGCAGTGAGTAACATATAGGATTGACGGACTTTCTGCCACCACGCTGCTTTACTGGAACAATCAAAAAGCAAATATGTAGCCCTGGTGCGGTGGCTCACGCCTGTAATCCCAACACTTTGGGAGGCCAAGGCAGACAGATCACCTGAGGTCAGGAGTTGGAGACCAGCCTGGCCAACATGGTGAAACCCCGTCTCTACTAAAAATACAAAATTAATCTGGTGTGGTGGCGGGTGCCTGTAATCCCAGCTACTCTGGAGGCTGAGGCAGGAGAATTGCTTGAACCTGGGAGGCAGAGGTTGCACTGAGCCAAGATCATGCCACTGCACTCCAGCCTGGGCGATAGAGTGACGCTCTGTCTCAAAAAAAAAAAAAAGCAAATATGAATACTATGGATGTTTGATATCAAGACATACAGAGCCAATGACTTCAGTACAAGAGACAAGAGAGTATGAGATAGGTCTCAGCGTGGACGTTATCTTCTCCCATCCTCAGACAGCCACAGAAGGTAGACATACTTGCAGAATTTGAATTACCTGTATCTAAAGTTCCAGCACTACATATATTAATGCAGTACCTAATAAAAATAGGACTATAGCTAGTGTTACAGAAAGACAGTTGATCATGACCCCATGCTTTAAATATAATTATTAAAAATGTATAGGCTGAAGTCTGACCAGTCTGCACATGGTACAGCAGCCTTGGATATGTGCAACACAGGCCAGCATGGGGCCCGAAAACTGAAAACACAGAACCAAGATGCCAACAGAAGGAAAGGATCCAAACAGGGCCAGGATGTTTCCCTTAGGTAGATATGTTATATTATATTATATTATATTATATTATATTATATTATATTAATATCTTAGTCTAGCAGATTGGCAGGAAATATTAGCTTTAGACTCTGGTGCTACGCTTTGATCAGTATAATTTGTTTGCGGCTTAATGTTATGTAAATGATGCCATTCTTTCCTTGGTGTAGATGCAGCCATTCTCAAATAAACACTGATGATCTTTTATTTTATTTTTTATAATTTCAAATTTTATTTTTGATTCACGGGGTCCATGTGCAGGTTTGTTACACGGGTATATCATGTGACACGGAGGTCTGGTGATCTCCTAGAATTCCACATTAAAAGAATTCAAATAAGAAGATATAATAAGAAGAATTCAAAGAGTTCAAATACTCCAAATAAGAGAGGAATTCCATAAACAAGGCTGCCATTTCTACTGCTGTTGCTAAGACTGGTCAGATCCAATTTACAATTGCGCTGAAAAATTTTGATGCCTAGAGGAGAGAGATCATGTAAACAGCATGAACTCTTCCTGACCAAGTTTCATTTCTGTTTGACCTTCTGAACAAGTTCTATTACATATAAAATAAGCAGTATTTTTAAACCTACAGTGCTAAAAGTAAGATTTCAGGAAACTATCACTAACTTACTAAGTGATATGCTTGAAAGTCTAATGTTTCCATAGATAAATCAGAGATTTAAATGTGTGCTTTCTATTATTCTTCCAAAGCTTTCTAAATGCTGGAAGGAAAGATACAGGAATGTATAGATGTCCGGGACCATTTTGTACCATGAATGATTGATGGCCAAAGAAGATTCCAGATTTTTCTTAAACATACTTCATCTTAGAAAAGTTTCCACAGTTTGTATGTATATATTCCTGGTTTTCCTTTCTAAAAAATATGTCCTTTCCAAGGCCAACTCCAGGTATATTAGTCCCACATCTCTCACTGATTTCTTTAACACATTCTCATGAGTTCCTTGCACACCTTCAGAGTATAAGCCTTGGAGAAAGAGGCTTTGTTTTGTTTTATGCAAAACCTTTGACTCCTGTAATGTGGAGTTTACACCTTTAGTGTCAGATAAATGACAAATAATCATTGTTAGAGGCAATAACACATTCAGATGTGAAGTTTTACAACAATCTCTGTTTTCCTTGAGCTGCTAAAATCATTAGATTTATGACATTCATGGATTAGTGGAACTGTATGCCTCTGCTCTGTTTACTTAATTTTTGAATGGACTGGAACGTGCTTTTAATGTGGAAATCGTATTACAGTGTTCAAATAATCTTGTACTCTGAACAAGATTATTAGCTGTAGAAACCAAATGGGATTTTATCCATTGTCATCATCCTCTATTTCCTTGACATGCTCATCCCATCTATTGACAAACCAAATTTGATGTCAGAATCCGCTCCAAAATCCTAACAACATGATTTGTAATTACAGAGCTAACACCTATGAATAATAAAATTGCAAACAAGCAGAGCACCATCAAAAACTCAAGATGATAATTTTTTAATGATAATATTACTTCCTGTGTGTGATAGTATACAAAGCACGGAGCATTGTCTTTCTCAAGACAGAATTCTAGTGAATTTCTGAGCCTGAGCACCATAAGGACAGAGGCAATACGTTTCCCATCAATCTCATAGTAACGCATGTCTTCAAAAGCAGCAAGTCAGTTAAGAGAAAAATATTCTTCCCTCATTCCTCATCTTCCCTCAAACACTAAAGTTAATTACATGAAGAATGCATGAGGAATTAAATGCCCTTAGCCTCCAGCACGATAGCACTGTTCAGAACTCCAATTCTAGTCCTGTCATTGATCTTCTGGATTTACTTACATGCCCTTTAAAATTTATCTCAATTTCAGTTTGTCCTAGAACCACGAAATGTTAGAGACCACCTAGTAGTCTAACACCTTCATTTTTAGGTGAAGAAACCAAGGCCTCCTTAGCTTAAAGGACCAGGCCAGAGTCATCCTCCTTGATTCTATATAGCTTATTCCAAGTTCAGACCCATCCAATGCTACATGGCAGGTCTCCAAACTCTTCTTAGACTTGTTCCCAAACTGCTTGCCTTGACACTATTTGAGTGCCACAATCCAACTCTCTTTCAACCCATTGCCCTGTCCTCTTATCTCCCTACCTTCAACTCTAACAGCAGGTCTGTTTTCCTTTAAGTTACTCTGCTAAATTGCAAATATGCTGGGAGGTGAAAGTGCCTTATTATCCAACAATATCTACCATTTATTGAATACTACTTATGCCCCAGACACTATATCAGTCATATCACAAACACTCTTCCACTTAATCCTCACAACACTCTGAGACTGGTGTCATTATACAGATTGGAAAACCAAGGTCCAGAGAACATAATTAACTTGCCTAAGGTTGCACAACCTTCAGCAACCAGAATTTGTAAGTGGTAACAACCAGAATTTGAACCTACCTCTGTCTGGTGCTCTTAACCACTATGCTTACTGCCTGTTATTTCCTACTAAAGAATTTGGCCATTCATTCATTCAAAACACACATGTCAACCATCAAATATATGCCAGGTGTAGTCCTGGAAGAACAGGGAGTACAGAGATGAAAGAACCAGGGGCAGCAGTAAAGGGCAGACACTTGAGACCCAAACGATTATTCCCCAGAGCAGTGATGAGGGTGGATGAGCCTCGTCACACCACGGGGCTTACCAAAGGCAGAGCCTAGGATTATTTCAGGCAATGCTAAATTAGGCCTGGTCCGAAGAGAACATTCTTCTAAGCCTCCGTATACTCAGGAGGCTCTACAAATTCCAAACTTTTTTACTAAATTTCCTTCCAGCCCTATTTGATATTCCCCTGCAGGCTCGTTTTGCCTGAGTCTATAAGTGTAAGGAAACATGTTTTTTTCCCCTGCATACCCAGACAGGATGTTCAGTCATTCACTCCTCTGTTTTTATTTGTTATGCACTCACATGCTGTGGGTGTTTTATAAGTTGCTAATGTTTGCAGAATTTGATTATCAGGCTGCTTCTCCGCCCCTTTACTCGTTCCCCAACTGCCAATGGAGTGACGGTTCTTCCTCCTGTATTTGAACATTGGGTTCAGGCTTTCCTTTTTAAAAGTACTTCTGCTGGGCCGGGCGCGGTGGCTCACAAGACCATCCTGGCTAATACGGTCAAACCCCGTCTCTACTAAAAATACAAAAAATTAGCCGGGCGTGGTGGCGGGCGCCCGTAGTCCCAGCTACTCGGGAGGCTGAGGCAGGAGAATGGCGTGAACCCGGGAGGCGGAGCTTGCAGTGAGCCGAGATCGCGCCACTGCACTCCAGCCTGGGCAACAGAGCGAGACTCTGTCTCAAAAAAAAAAAAAAAAAAAAAAAAAAAAAAAGTACTTCTGCTGTCAGGTCATTTAGCAGCATCATTTATCTATAGGTTTGGGCTCTGCCTTTTTTTAAAAAAAGTTTCTTCCTTCAACAAAGCTTTCGAAGATAGGGTTCAGGGCTTATCACACTGTGCTCTGGTCATTCGGAACTTGCATCTCAAATGTATTTCACTTACTGCATGTTTTTTTCTGCTTCCTCTTCCACGACTCAGATTTGTGAAGTGTTTTGTAACTGTCTATGCAAGACGGGGTTGGGGAGGTAAATCGCCTGTGTTTCTGATTTCTCATTTGAGTCTCCGTGTTTGTCTTAAATGGTTTCGTTGAGCTTGGGAAAAACAGCAATCAAAGCCACAAAGTGTCCATGAGACATAAGCAAAGCCAAACAGTTAAACCCTACAAAGATGAATTATGAAAAAAGAACTATGATTTACTCATAGCAAGAAATTAAAAAGTCAAATAGAAAAGGGACAGTGAAGTGCGAGAAGGAAATGCTGACAGCTAAATTACCCTTCAAGTAAAGGAAGATAATTCTCCTGCCTAGATGAGGGGGCATTCATGCCAGAGCTCAAATTTAAATTCCAACAGCCCTGTATGGACCTTCAGACCATTATTCGCTTTCTTGTATTCAGTTATCAGCTCTTTCTTCATTGCTTAAATGTTTGGATACATCCAGCCAGAGGCTTTTTGGTTGATGAGCACATTTCCACAAAGCAGAAAAAATAAACATAATATGGTTGCTGCCTACTTCAAGAACCCCATATGGCCACTTTTAGACAGGGGTGTCCACCTCTGGAGACCAGCTTCCCATATGAAAGGGTGTTTGTCTCATTCTGAGACCAGCTTTATAAATCAATTACAAAATTCAAATCTCATTCTGTCACTTCAGCCACGTAAGAAAGGAAGGGGAGACAATTTTAATGACTCTGGAAATTTCCATATGCGTAAAAGCTGTAACTAGCAAATATTCATTTTCTTTCTTGGCAGATGACTCTGGTAATTAAGGTAAACTACTAATAACCCTTTCCAGAGTGTAGGATAGATTGTTCCCAAACATATTGAGAATAATCATATTGAGCAGCTTGAAGCCCAGACAGATCCTTAGAGACAGCCCTGCCAAGAACAGAATCTCCCACAAGGAAAAAAAAAAAAAAAAAAAAAAAACCTGGAGAAATCAAAACCCCTGAGTCTGTACTGAGGTTTTAATCTGCCTGACTTCTTCTATGCTGCACGCTTTTATGATCATTTGCTGCATGTCAATTCTTCTCAAAAGTTGATGTACATATTATCCTTTCTTAATGCAGGCATTTTAGTGGCTGTGTTTGCCAGTCTTGAGCTGTGGTTGGCAATTTTGGGCTGTAAAGGGTCAGATAATCAATATTTTCAGCTTTGCCGGCCATATAGTCTTTTCAGCAACTGTCAACTTGGCCATTGTGGGGAGAAGCAGCCACAGACAATAGTAAATAAATGAGCGTGGCTGTATTCTAATAAAACTTTATAAACACAGATGGTGGGCCATATTTGGCACAGGGGCTGCAGCTTCCTGATCCCTGCTCTTGAGGATAAGGTAACAGAGAGTGTGACACAGAGTAAGCCAGTGGCTTTCCCTCCCCAGGGTCCAAACTTCCTGGCACCTGACACAAGCTATATCACCCAGAGAAGATGAGCTCAGCCTATAGGGAAAAACAACCCATTTTGAAAGTCTAGACTTCCCGAGCCCTCTAACAACTATGACACATCACAGCATTATTTAGTCTCTCGCTCATTTACAATGAGTCACTGCTTGATTTGCAAGACTCCCCACTTCACTGATAATATTGAAAGCCCACTAATATTAGTCACAGCAAGAAGCTGCCCCTAAAACTGGGAGAGGAAATTACTTTGCAGTTTTAATTTCAGACTTTGAACTAAAATGACTATATATCAAATGGTTTTTAATGCTGTCTTTGGTACTAACACAAACAAGAATGATCACTTTCAATTCATGTTGTTCTCCACAGCAGAACACTGTCTGAAGTCTTGAATTAAGAGATTTGCCCAGATATGCTGTGCAATGTAGAAGACAGGGCAGGGACTTTCGACTCAGACACACTTGGGTTCTGATGCCTGCTGGGCCGTTTACTACCCATGGAACCTGGACGAGTCTTTCAACATCTCTGAGTTTGTTTCCCTGTTGGCAGAATAATGCAATAAGCCCTGCCCTGACTGTCTCTCTACTTCACAGGGTTGTTGGCCATGAATTAGGGGGTTGAGAGCAGAAGGCTATGTAATGAGATCACAGTTAAGGAATCACTTTGTCCATTGTACAGTGCTCCTCACATAGGAAAGAATTATAATTTTTAAGACTGGAACTGGCCACTAGACACAAGAGCACTGATTAATCACTGTCCCCTACTTACACTGCATCCATTTGTGCCTCTGATGTGATCCTCAAAGTAGATTTACCTGTCTAAAATCTGTCTGATCTCATGGATTAAGTTCCTTGAGGAGCATCCTGATGACCACATATTGAGACTGAGATATATTGGAGCTCAGTCCTCCTACACCATTTCCTATCTTCAGAACTTAGAGCAGAAATGACTGAATAAATCTAGAGATAGAAAGACAGGCAGGCAGATGGTACAGGCTCAAGAAGGAAGATACTTTCCCCCCATTCTGAACTCCCTCCTGTCTATTTCCCCTGGAAATACGCAGGAAGATGGTGCACCCCATCGTTCTCTTGGGGGCTGACTTTCCCTGAGAGTGACCATTTTTCCCCTAGGAAAATTTTTCTCCTCAAGATGTCTCATGTCTTGATTTTTCCATTTCTCCTGATTATATCAGTGCTCAAAAAAACTTTTAATTTATTTTCTGCCATGGTGTTGTGCCTTCACAGTGGTGAGAGGCAATGGGTCAGTCTGAGATAGGCCCAGGGATAAAATAGCATTTATCAAAAATTTGCTTTAGAAGAGAGAATGCAATTTAAATGGGATGAGAAGCAAGGATGCCCATTTTGTTTCTGGTTGATAAAACTAAATATTGTCAAAGTATCCATTTCCAACCTAATTAGTTTCATTTCTATTTTTTACATAATTCTCAATCAAAATTCCAATTTGAGGCTGGGTGCAGTGGCTCATGCCTGTAATACCAGCACTTTGGGAGGCCGAGGCAGGTGAATCATCTGAAGTCAGGAGTTTGAGACCAGCCTGGTCAACATGATGAAACCATGACTCTACTAAAAATTCAAAAAATTAGCCCGGTGTGGTGGCAGGTGCCTGTAATCCCAGCTACTCAGAGGCTGAGGCAGGAGAATCTCTTGAACCCAGGAGGCAGAGGTTGCAGTGAGCCGAGATGGTGCCACTGCACTCCAGCCTGGGCAACAAGAGCAAAACTCCATCTCAAAAACAAAAACAAAAAACAAAAAAAAAACAAGAAAGTCCTCTTGGACTTCCAGCCTTCAGAACAGTGAGAAATAAACTTCTGTAAGCCACTCAGTCTCTGATACTTTGTTATAGTCCCACAAACAGACTAAGAGACTTTCACTTCACATCCTCAACACTGGTATTGTCTGTTTCGTTTTAGTCATTCTGGTCAGTGTTCTGGGAACACAACTAAAATTACACTGTCATCCTTTATCTTTTTACTTGGATATCTCCATCACAAGTTTTCAGGCATCCATTCTACAACCTAAGAAACTAAGGCCCAGAGAGACTGGGCCAATGCCCAATGTCACAAGTCTGTAAGTATTCTTTACACACAGAAGTCTCTGATGGGTGATGTTCTTATAGCCTGAGGGCAGGCTGCCTTCTTTTAAAAGAGTTGGAAACGCTTCCAGATAATTAATGCAAATTGCTCATATAACCAGAGAGTTACTCAGGCACACACATGTGTGAGCACACACACAGACATGCACATTCAACATTTCTAACTGGAAGGTTTAATTTGGAAGCACACCGCTGTTAGCTAAATGATCCTGCAACCAACAGCCACACATCTCTCCCTTATCTCCCTTTGGTTAAACATTTGGAAATGACTTTCAAATGGGGTTGGCACAAATGACAGCTCTTCATTTTACCTTGTTTCTGTGAATGCCATTTGTGTGAATGTTTTATGGTTCTGTTAATTACCTTCATCAAGAGGTTATTCTTGCTAGCCTACAAAATAAGCTAAAGATAAAATAAAATAAAAAATAAAGAAGTTATTTTATTGTTTCTAGAGAAGTAAAGTCACAAATGTAAATATTCTGAGGCAGCAAATTTATTCAGCAAACTAAAATTAGGAGTTCTTGATTCTGTATGAATCAATGCATATATTTAAAATGTTGTGTTATTTCAGTTACTATCAGTATCTCAAAATATTTTTCAGGCACAGGTCTACGCATGAAAAAACTGAGGCAGGTGCTATGCTTTAAAAGCAGACTGGAAGTTCAAAAGATGTGTGCTCTGGCATTTAGACAATGCCTTTAACTTCTCTGGGCCTCAGTTTGCTCATCTCCAAAACGGGAAGTTATAACACTATCTATCTATTAGTATTGTTATGAGGTTACATAGAATATTTCATCAAAAGATCTGACAGTAATAATGCACAAGGATTGCTAAGTGATGACTGAGAGCTAAGGAATTCTGCATGATGAGGAACTGCATAAAGAGCTTACAGCATATGGCTAAGAGTTTAAGTCCTGGGGCAGTATTACCTAGGTGTATGTTCTGACTTTACCAGTTACTAGCTGTGCAGCTTTGAGTAAGTCACTTATACCTTCTGTGTCTCAGCTTCTGTGTCTCTAAAATGGGTAGCAATAGCAACAGTTTTATGGTGTTGTGAAGACGAAGGAGATAATCCAAGAGATCTGCTTAGAACAGACCCTGACACATAGTTGCTGAGGGAATAATAAATGTTAGCTGCAAACAGGTGTGGATTTACCCCAGGATGACCAGTGATGCATGGTGATGACCTGACAGTGTGAAAATAGGCTGATTTCCTTTGTTGCATTTCACCTGTCCCAACCTGGCCAGCACCCTTCCCATCTAATTTTTCTTCCACCGCAGTCATCCAAATGGAAGATAAATGCCTTAATTATGAATAAAAATGGAATGTTTCTCTCCTAGGTGTCAATAAAAATGATTATTTTTTTCCTGAGGAAATAAAATATTCTTTAGCCCTCCTGGCAAATCTCAGCTTTCAGAGTCTTGCTGTGCTCAGCATGAGGGCTTGTCACTTGCTAAGAAGCTCAACATGCATGTGCCTCCGTGGCTCTCAGTGCAGCGAGGGGCCTCTGCAACAACAGCCATCAATATTCCAACATGGACCAGTATCTCACCTCAGAGTCCTTACAAAATGAGTGCCAGCAGGGACAGCCTCTTAGGGCAGAGCCGCCAAGACATTGCTTTGATGGCAACACATCTCCACCTTACCACTGCCTTGCTGTGGGTGGGACAACTCAATTCCAGGATGTGGGGAGAAGCCCAGATTTGGGAACCAGTAGGGCCTGGGTTCAAATCCCAGCTCCACCGCTTAGAGTAGCATGACTCAGGGCTGGTTATTTACCCCCTCTGGACTTACCTCAACATCTCATATGGAGGGGTGAGAATACTTACCTCAATGACTATAGTTAGCAATACAATTTCAAGTAGCTAGAGGATATTGAATGCCCCCAGAATGAAGAAATGATCAGTGTTTGAGATGATGGATCTGCTAATTACCCTGATCTGATTATCATATATTATATGTATCAAAACATCATTATGTACCCCCATGAATATGTAGTTATTGTCAATTTAAAAAATTTAAATAAATAAATATTTTAAAAGAATATTTCAGAGGTCATTGTGAAAGAATAAATGAGATAAAGTAGGTCAAGCACTTCTGCCAGTAGCAGGCACATAGGAGCTACGATTATAATTTTCCAACCCTCAGCACTAATATATCTGGACCATTCCACATACCAATTGCCCAAGAACAGTGAAAGAAGTGGAGGTTCCTGGGAAGATCTGGGATGGCATCTTTCCTCCTGCTTGGTGGAGCATAGAAGAAATTGGGTTTTTAGTCCAAAAAGACCCCACATTATCAGAACCTCGTCAGTTTAGGCTGGAGGAAGTAGAGCTTGCCTTAGCACAGCTCAATCACCTTTCATCTTTGCTTACAAACTAGCCAGATTTCCTTATCATAGAAGTGTGCTAAAAACATCAAGAAGCAGCCAACACACATCATTGTTCTGATTTTTTTCAACCACTTCCCCTAGAGGTATAGGCTCAGGAGACCCATGGTCTCACATCCAAGGTTGTTGCAGGCAACAGTTTACAAATGTTTCACCACGTCAGAAGAAAGGCCACCAACTTCCCAGCCTGCAATCTCTTCATCCCCATTGTCCAACACTCAACACCTGCCTGGAAAGCCAAGAACACACATTTGGGGGCCAGTGGTGGGGGATGTTACAACAGTGTTTCATTTCTGCTTCCAAGTCCACATTAGAAAGGATTCAGGTTTCCACTGTTGTCACATATCAGAAACTGAAATAGGATAAAGGCTCTGGAGTCAGATAGTTGGGTTTCATCCAGACTCCACCATTTACTACCGCATGACCTTAGACATATTAATTAAGTGCTCTGAGCCTCAGTTTATTCATCTGTAAAATGGAAACCCTCCTTATAAGGTTGTTGTGAGTTTTAAATGAGTTGATGTAAAGCACTTGGTGCCAGGAATGTGATAATCTCTTTGTAAATGTTAGATCTCGTTATTACTAAACAGTTATTATGTGCTAGGCATTGTGCTACTTGTTGGAAAGATCATGGTACACAGGCTATCCATTGTCCGTGTCCTCAAGGAGTATACAGTATAGAAGCACAAATATTAAACACATAATTACACAGATAATTATTCATACAGCAAGAATGCTTAATGCTATGAAGGAGATGTTCCAGATCGTTCACATCCTTGGTAAACTATGGCTTCTAAGTGGAAGGGAGTATTGCTGAGGTGATCTAATGATACAGAACCAACATTTGTAACATTTTCCATGGAAATAAATCTAGAAAATTCAACTCTTTACTCATTCCATTTTACATAATGCTTTAAAGTAGTTTGCATTTCATTTTCACATCTGTACAGAGGCAGGATGATGTTGTGACCAAGAATAGCCTCATCTATCAGACTGCCTGGGTTCAAACTCAGGCTCTACCACTGACCAGCTCTGTGACCTTAGTCAGTTTCTATACTTCTGTGTGCTTCAGTTTCCTCATCTGAAAAATAGAAATAATAGCTCCACCATGTTATTGGGAAGGTTAAATTAACTGATACCCCTAAACTACTTAGAACAGTGCTTAACACCTAGTAGGTGCTCAGTAAATAGTAGCTCTCATTATTTTCTCTTTTGAACTTCTCTACACAGAGAAAGGTAAGGTATTAGGCTGGTGCAAATGTAGTTGCGGTTTTTGCCATTGAAAGTAATGGCCAAAACAGCAATTACTTTTGCACCAACCTAATAATTATTGTCTTCATTTTATGGATGAGAAAACTCAGACTCCAAGGAATAAACTAGTGAAAAAGATCAGACCAAATCCAGGTCTCCCAGCTCCCCACGTATTGTTCTTTCTCTACCACCAATGGCCTCTCAATTGACAAAATGATGTTATCTTTGAAAAAGTCAACACATAAAGAGTGTAGGCTAAAGTGTTTCATGAGGAGAGAGGGTGTCATGACACGTAACTGGAACTGAGTAAAGTAGCAAAAGAAAGAGAAGAGAAGCCAAAGGTTTTGTTTTTAAAGATAAATGAGTAGCAAACAAACTGGCTTAGAATGAGAGAGGTTAAGAATATTTTCCTGCATAATTAAATCTCTAAAGATTTGGTTAGAGCATCATTGTTTACATCAGGTTAAAACAAAAGATCACATTAGCAATCGCACAAGCTTATATGCAGTGCCTTATCCACACAACAACATTAATAAGTCAGTTTTAGAGAGTCTAATCAAACTGTTCCTGTAAGATAAAAGAAGCAGACATTTAGAGGGCAAAACTTTGAATGCAGTACACACACAGAACTGCATTTTCTATTTCTATCACCAGTACTTACATAGGAATTATCATTTTTTCTTTATTTTTTCAATTCTGGTGAAATATCCATAACATCAAATTTACCATCTTAACCATTTTAAGTGTGCAGCCCAACAGCATTGAAGACATCCTCTTATTGTGCAACCATCACCACTGTCCATTTCCAGAACTCTTTTCTTCTTGCAAAACTGAAACTTTGTCCCCATTAAACAATAGCTCCTCAATTCCTCCCTCAGAATTACAATTCTTAAATCAAGTAAGTTTTTGAATCAAGATCATTTTCTTTCAACTACTTAGTTTTTGTTTGTTAAAACAACATTTACTACGATTTAAAAGCTTTTTGAGAATTCCAATATGATGCAGTTTATCCTAATCAGAAAGGCATCCTTATTCACTTCAAAGCATTTGGAGACTGATCCCTGTCTAAGACTATGCCATCATTTTTATGGCTGCAACCAACCATAATTTCTATTTTAGAAAGTTGAACAAGAGAAGAGAGTTGTCTGTAAATCCAGACCAGATGACAAGAACAGAAGTTTCTGGAATCCATTACAGGAACGGCTTATCGCCTGATGTCAGTCCCATTTCCATTCAAACAGTATAAAGAAGGGGAAGTTTCCTGAATACACAAAACCCATCGACTATCTGGTAGGGCTGGGAGAATGTGCTGGTCACCCCAACCCACACCCCATAATTATGCCTTCAAACATGTCTGCCACACAAGGCAGAATATTCTAGCTGCTATCAGAGCCCTCAGACAGACTTTATAACATCCAGTTCAACAGATAACAAGTCACAAAGAGACACTATTCTTTGCAAATGACAAAGAATTTTTCATCTCAGGCTTTTAATGTGTAAGGGCATATATTTCGAAGGGAAAGCTTTTATTACTGCTAATCAAAGAAAAGAGGCTTTTCTAAAAAGCAAAATTTATCAGGAGTTTCTACAGGACAAACGGTGTGACCCAGGGCTTTGTTCCTGGAGAAGACGTGTCTTTGAGGACAATAGAAACCGCAACAGGATTGTCTGATGGTCCTCCTCCCCATAGGCACAAGGCAGCCCCTTACAAATGGGCTCCCACCCTGCTGCGGAGGTAGTGATGAAAACAGTCAATCATCTCACATTTATTTGGCATTGTGTGGTTCCCCCGGGTATCACTTCTCTGCTCTGAGCTTTGTAGGCACCGCTGTTCTGCTTGCTAATGACATTAGCAATGGGATGATGTCTCATCTATGGGCAGTGACCATTTTTAGCAAATGCACTTGGTGTGGAAAGCTCCAAATTCACTAAATGATACACATTCAAAGGGTTCCTTTAGAGTAAACTGTATTCCCACCATTTTTTTACTTTAAAAAGAACTGAGGTAGAAATATCCTTCTGTGCATGTGTGTGTGTGTGGGGGAGTGTGTGTGTTTCATCCTATGTGCCCTGCTTATTGATTACACATCGAGCACTTTGACTCTTTTCCCTTTTCTTAAGGAAATTGGGTCAGGGCTCACTGTAGCCTGACCACCCTGCTTCTCTGGTGAAGCCTACCTCCTTAAGCTCTGGCTACAAAAATTTTTTTCCATCTGCTGGCCTCAAAGATTTGATGAAAATAAAAACATCAGAAGCATCTCGTTCAGGCAATACTCACTTGTGAAATATTCACTTTAATGACACCGTAATGCTGCACCCCTTGGTGTGCCATTTATTGTGAGACTTAATCAAAGGCAAAAGGAAAGAAAGACGCCTGGCTTAGGGGCAGGTGCTTTTTTGTCAGAGTGTGTTCCTGTGGGAGGGGAGGGGGCCCTCAGGAGTAGGGTGTTATGCACAAAGCCTTAGCTGCCCAGATTGTTGGCAGTTGTTTTTCCATGAGTCCAGAGGTTTGCTCTGTTTCTGTGTGTGTGCTTTGTGTAGTCTTTTATATATACACCCCAGGATTAAGAGAGAAAAGGAGAGGGATGGAGAGAGAGATTAAGAGTGGGAGACAGAATGTGTCTTGGAGCTTTCCACAGCTCTCTCTGCAGAGGCCCTGGGGTTACATCCATATGCTTGTGGTATGTGCATATGCACATGTGTGTAAGATGGAGTAGGGAGTGTTTGTGTGAATGGTCTGTACGTGTGTAGTTTGTGTGTGGTATGTGTGTATGCATGGTGTCTAGGTGTGTTGGAGGGTGTGTGATGCAGCGGTGCATGTATGATACATGTGTGTCTGTGTTTGTGTGTGTTGTCTGTGTGTAGTGTATGAGTATATATGGTGTGTTTATGTGCATGTGGGGGTGTGCATGGTTTGTATGTGTGGTAGGTGTGCATGCATATGGTAGTGTGTGCACATGGTGTTTCTGTGTGTTGTCTGTATGCAGTGTATGAGTATGGTGTGTGTTCACACATGTGGTGGGGAGGTATGCGTGGTTTGTATGTGCACATGCATACATGCATGTATGGCTTTGTAGGTGTACATGCATATGGTAGTGTGTGTGTGTGTGTGTGTGTGTGGTTGTGTGTTGTCTGTGTGTGGTGTATAAGTATATAGGGTGTGTGTTCATGCATGTGGTGGGGGGTATGCATGGTTTGTATGTGTGGTAGGTGTGCATGCATGTGGTAGTGTGTGCATGTGGTAGGTGTGTATATGCATGAACACACACTCATATGACCATATACTGCTACGACCTACAGAGTTCTTCATACACCCTGGAATTCAAGTGTGTTCTACAAGTGTCTTATATATCTGTGGCACATGTGTCCATTTGAGCTGCCTGTGGCAAGACACTGCCTAGACACTGCATTAGAGCCAATCATAGCTATTTAAGAGAAAAGACAAAACACTTAACCTAAGTGCCAAACACACAGTGGTCATTCCATTTGGTAAATGTATTTGAAAAAGAAAGGTCGGGAGAAGGAAAGATGATTCCAAAGAATCTCAAAATTAGGATTTTTCCTCAAAAAGAATGTTAGAATTTAAGGGATAATGCTAATTAGTCACACCTCTTCCCTTACGGGTTCTGAACCCATTGAGGAGACAGACTCAGATCTACAGAGCTGAAATGATCAGCTATGTTTCCAAAAAGGCTGCCTTGGAGAATTTGCCTTGACCCATGACCAGAACTGATTTGCCAACAAGGAGGCCAGGCCTCCCCTAGCTCCAAAGAGCAGAGCAGCCCTACTGAATCTAAGAGACAGAGGGGCAAGGAGGGGACAAGTGCTGAGGACAGGTTGCTGGGAAAGAGAGACCCAGAGGGGCTGAACTCCACACCCCATGACCTTCTTCCCAGCCAGGGTAGGGACAGGGTAAAAGGACAGGGGCTTTCCTCCCAAGTCTTCCATTCTTCATAAGGTGGAAATTCCTACTTCATGGATCAAGGCAGAAAAAACAAAACAAAACAAAAGAGAAAGAAAATGATTTTTTTATGACTCCAAAGATATTGTTTTCTCAGTTCAACAGGCTGAAGCATCCAGGCTGTGGCCAACTAAGACTGAATGCAGGGTGTGGAGTCCCCATGGTGGAGTCGCCGGTGGTTAACCCAGACACCCTCATGAGGCCACTTCTTCAACACCAGTCACCAATCCTCTGTTTCCTCCCAGGATTGCTGGTAAGCAATTTCACTTCTGCCCTCCAAAGGAACAAAACCTGTTCATTAAATAACCCACAGGGTTATTTATTTAATGAGCCCACAAATTTTATTTCCAATTCTATTCTCACCTTTAATCATGTCCAGCAATGTGAAGGTAAGTTCGTTTCCTTCTCCTTGCATTTCTGCATGTTACTGTGTCCTTCCCACAGAGTACAACTCCTGACCCCTCCCACCCCTTTCTTACTTCCCAAACGTGGAGAATCCAGACATCTGCTTGGATGAGTGGGAGGAATCCACATTTACTCCCCAGATGGGTTACATCACATGCCTCCTTCACATGTAGCCTCTCCGTCCACACCATCGGGGACCCCACAGTTGGCCAGAGCAATCACTGACCCAGACTCTCCCCATGGTGGGTTGTCCCAACATCTCAGCTTAAGAAAAAAGGATAGAAACCCTGTGTGGCAATGGTTCAAAACTGTGTCCTCCAGTCCACTGCTAGCAGCAGAAAATCCAATATTTTGCCTTCATCTAAATTCTACATTTTTTTTCCTCAATTGATTTTTAACTAGGAGAAGAATCAGAAGTAGGATATTAATGATTTCCTTCAACCCCGATAAAAGATGCCAGTTACATAGACTAGGGAAAGAGAGAGAGGGGAGTCTGCATTTCTTTTGGAGTTGGTGTGATGTTGATATCATTTTTCCCAGTGGCTTTCAGGCTTGTGAAGCCCACCGATTCTTCATAACACCTCTCTTTGTGCTCATTCCCCTTCATTTTCATCATCATTTCCAGGCTTTTATTGCCTCTCAACAGACTTTTGCCACCACCTCTGTATTAGTCGCATTGCTATAAAGAAATACCTGAGACTATGTAATTTATAAGAAAAGAAGTTTAATTGGCTCACAGTTCCACAGACTGTAGAGGAAGCATGGCAGCATCTGCTTTGGGAGAGGCCTCAGGAAGCTTCCAATTACAGCAGAAGGCAAAGAAAGAGCCAGTAATTTACATGGCCAGAGCAGGAGGAAGAGAGAGGGTAGGGAGAGGCGCCACACACTTTGAAACAACCAGATCTTGTGAGAACTCACTCACTATCATGAGAAGAGCACTGAGGGGATGGTGCTAAACCATTCATGAAGACTCTGCCTCCATGATCCAATCACCTCCTACCAGGCTCCACCTCCAAACATTGGGGATGATGCAGATCCAAATCATATCAACCTCCAACTGGGGTCCCAGGATCTAGTTTTGAGCCCCCCTCCAAACTAGCATACACATAATTGTCATATTTAATCTCCCTAAAACTTTTCTCTTTAAAGGAGAATCCCCTGGTCAGGCATATGCAAAGACACCTGTCACACTAGAAGACTGAGCCCAAAATCCTATCCTACTTAGCACAATCCTCCACCACCATGTCTCTTCCAAATGCACCTCTGTTTCTGCAAATCCTCTCCTCCTAACAAACCCAGACATACTTATATGAGTTCCTCTCTCTCTACTTTTACACTAATGTCACATCTTAAGTAAGTTAAACCGATTAGAATTCAGCCTTATGCAATCTTCCCACCACTCCAATCATTCCTCCATTCCCCTGTTTGGCCCATGAGACAAACACAGACGGTGTCTCCTTGTGAATAATATTTATTCTGCTGCTGACTGTTCTCCTCTAATTCAACACCAGCACCTCATCCTCGCTCTTCAATATTTGACATGCATTGAGACCAGCATAGCTAGGGGCATCTGAATGTAGACATGATCACTCCTCCAGCGTCAAGCTCACTTGGGCTTGTCCTCAGCAAAGCTGAGAGCTCAGTGATGCCAAAGTACAGTCCACAGACGTGAAGGCCCACCTTCCTTGCTCCTCCACCAGCCTTCAGTTGCCTCATGGATCTGGTAGTACAAACATCTTGCCCTGCTGATTTGACTCCAGTGACTAAAGCAATGCTATTTTTGTTCAACACCATCCCAAACACAGACCAACTATAGAAATGTGAAGGCTAGAAGGGGCTATGTAGTCCAAAGAAGTAGCAATCTATACTAACTCTGTAGGGAAGAGTGACCGTGCTGAACTTGAAGACAGAAGCCACATGCACATCACAGAATTGATATGAGAGCTTATACTTTGTGGTATACTTCAAGGAATTTTAAGAGTAAAATCTGACTTTCCGTAAATTCAAAGTAATGTGCTCCCCTTTTGAATGCAACCCTTACATTTCCTATGACACTACTGTGCCTGCTCCAAGTGTCCAACCCAATCTCCCCATGTCAATCCCCAGTTGCAGTCCCACCTATTTCTCAGTCCTCACCCTGACCACTAAGCCCTCAGTGATCTCTCCCTCCTCTGAACTCACTTGATACCAGTAGTGTTTCCCTGGCATGTAACTTATGCAACCTTGTATCATTATCCATCTGATTATGGGGGGTGTATGTGTATGTAGTCAATCTCTCTGAAGAGATTATAAACCCCTGAAAGACAGAGACCTTATCTCTTAGTCTTTGCACTTCTACCATCCAGCCACAGTAAGTTCTGGGTAAACACACGTGATGATAATGAATAAATAAAAAAATCCAGTTCTTTGGAAAGACCCCAAAGTCAAGGTGCCAAGGAAAATGTTTGCATATTCTGTCTACCTAGAAAATGCCTGCTCATTCTTCATGATCCAGACCAAATGCTAGCTTTTCTTTGGTGTCATTGAAACAAACACAGACTTTGCAATCAGCTAGAGAGGGATTCAAATTTTCTGTACAACAACTGGATAAGTGATTTTGAATGGAAGTTGTCACTGAGCATTGGTTTCTAATTCTATTAAATAGAAATAGTGAGTTCACCTTAGAGAGCCAGAAAAAATAAAATCATATATAGACAGTATCTAGAACAAGGTAGGCATGAAATCAATGGCAATTAGTAATATTCACTGTCTTTCTCTTGTGCTCCCATGCACTTTGCCCATGTTGCACTACCACTTTACACACTGCATTGTGAATATCTGGGTCTGCATCTAGCTCCTCCACTCTTCTGGGAGCTTTCCAAGGGGAGGGATTATCCTACCTTTGTGAGTGCTTATTTCATGCCAGGCTCTGTGTTAGGCTCTCTACATACACTATCTCATTGAATCTTCACAAAAAACAATTATTGCCATTTTATACATGAGAAAATTGAGCCTTGGAGCATTTAAGGAACTTGACGCTATTCAAACAGGTGCAAGCAACAAATCTGACCTCTGCACCAATGTCACCCCAAATCCAAGCCCTTATCATCTTACTATGCTGGGAGCAAGTATGCCTTAGCTATGCCATGTCAGCCTTCCAATACTAGCACATGAGTGCGTAAATAAACATAAACCAAGTGATTATTTAGTAAATAACAGGATTCTGATTTCATGTAAATGAATACCTTTGTTTCACTTTGAGATGATCCTACATCTGGAACAGTGCCTGAAACATGACTGCTATGGCATAAGTCACTTTTTTAAAAAAATTGTTCTACATTTACCAGCCTCATGTTTCGTAAAAGGCACACATTTAGTTCATGAAGAAAAACCATGGTTTAGATCCCAGAGAGATTCTCCCACAAGTCCTGAGGGAGGATGTTCATTGCAGCATTATTTGTGGAGGCAGGAAATTGGAGTACCATCCCTGGGAGAGTGGAGAGGGAAAATGTGATAGATGTTCACCCTGGGGTACAGCAATCAGCTGAATGGATCACAAGTGGACGTAGCGACATGGATGCTTCTTAAAGGCAAAGTTCTGAGTGGAAAAGTAAGAAACAAAGCAAGATTTATGACAATGTTATTTATACAATACCATTTTAAGAAGTTAAAAATACATACACACAAAGCACAGGATACATTTCAGTTGTGTGGTTGGTGATTAAGAGCATGGATTTTGGCCGGCATGATGGCTCACACCTGTAATCCCAGAACTTTGGGAGGCCGAGGTGGGTGGATCACCTGAGGACAGGAGTTTGAGACCAGCCTGACCAATATGATGAAACCCCATCTCTACTAAAAGTACAAAAATTAGCTGGGCATGGTGGCATGTGCCTGTAATCCCAGCTACTCGGGAGACTGGGACAGGAGAATCTCTTGAACCCGGGAGGCAGAGGTTGCAGTGAGCCGAGATCACGCCATTGCACTCCAGCCTGGGCAACAAGAGCGAAACTCCACCTCAAAAAAAAAAAAGGAAAAGAAAGAAAAAAGGAAAAAAAAGAGCATGGACTTCAGGGCTCAACTGCCTAGGTTCAAATTCCAACTCCGTTGCTTACTAGCTGTGTGACTTTAGGCAAGTTACTTAACCTTTCTATACCTCAGTTCCTTCATCAATTAAATGGGAATAATAAAGGTAAGTAATTCATAAGGTTGTTATGAGAATTAAATGAAGGATTACACATAAAAGACTTAGAACAAAGCCTGGCACAAAGTAAGTTCTATATAAGTGTTTATTATTATTCTTATATTTTGCAAACACCACACAATGAAAAGATGCATATTAAAAACATTAGATGACTGGCCATAGGAAATGGGGATGGGACAAAAAAGAATAAACAGCCAAATAAAAGGAACCGTGCACATAACAGTGATGCTAATTTACCATTAACTCAGAAGTATGATAAATTTAATCCTCTTCAGTTAACTTTTTTTTTTTTTTTGAGATGGAGTTTCTCTCTTGTTGCCCAGGCTGGAGTGCAATGGCACAATGGTGCGATGGTGCAATCTCGGCTCACCGCAACCTCCACCTCCCAGGTTTAAGCGATTCTCCTGCCTCAGCCTCCCAAGTAGCTGGGATTACAGGCACACGCCACCACACCTGGCTAATTTTGTATTTTTAGTAGAGACAGGTTTCTCCATGTCGGTCAGGCTGGTCTCAAACTCCTGACCTCAGGTAATCCGCCCACCTCAGCCTCCCAAAGTGCTGGGATTACAGGCTTGAGCCACCGCGCCTGGCCAACATTTTTTTTTAAATCACTAGCATTTACTAGTCAAGCTGTTATTAACCACTTACCTCACTGGGAGTGATCTGCAAGAGGCATTTGTGATAAGTTAACCATTCAGAGTTTAAAAACTCACCCTATACTTAGAACCAACATCATACTTAAAATATGACCACAGTGAAGCCCACTTTGCCCAACATCCATTCTCAGCCAACCCTGCCCCTTGGGGAAAAATTAACAAGCATTTATTAAGTGCCTACTATATGCAAGACACTGCATTGGCTACAATTAAGAAAAATAAAGCCATTGAAGTGCACTTTTAAAATACAAAATGCTAAATTGAAGGGCAAGTTGAGTGGTACCTACTATATCTGTTGAAATCCATTCAAAAGTACTTCCAGCTGGAATACTGGGGAACCCTTTGCAGAGATAGTGGGAAGCAGAGCTAGCCCCAGCAGTTGATAGTGGGAAGCAGGGCTAGCCCCAGCAGTTGCTTGAACGACCCCTAATGGGTCTCCATATTAATGGATGACCAAGAGATACACAGGAAAGGAAGACTCGTAACAATAATTCCAACTGACTTTAGCCTCCAGGTTAACTAATACCTCGTGAAACCTAATTACTACAATTAAGATGGGCCCCTTCCCTAGAGGGTGAGCCAGCAGCATCTGCACCATGGACAGCAGATAAACATGAAGTTATTATTTCAGAAATTGAGGGGAAAAAATAGTTTCTAGACCACTTACTTTTTAATGTTATCAAATCATTAAAAATTACTAAATTGTCAGCAATAAGATACAAATGCTAAGTGATATGATTATGCTGTGAATACGGTCCTGATTTCTAAAATGCATTAGCACAAATATCAAATCCATAGCTATGATATTTGCACTACCACACATCATTCCAAAATCCAGTCCAAAGAGAAGTCCCATTATTTTACCATCCTCTTATGATTCTTGGCAATTTCAGACTGCAATGGCCAAATTGATGCCGAAGTTTAGAATATAGAAACCTGTGCATGCTGACACTATCTATGTCTCTTTCATAAGTAAATTATGTGAAATCAAAGCTTTGACTTGGCCAGCCTTCATACTGGAACCCAATAGAATAGAAGTGGTTGTTCTCCTTCCTTATTTTGATTGGATGGCATTTTTTAAAATAAGTTATTGTAAGGAACCCACATTCCTCTTGGGCCTTGACTTTGTGTCTTAAAATGTTGAAGTCCTTTTAAAGCCATGTCTTTCCATGACTGTATCAATGATGAAATAAGGATTAAGATCACGTTTTGCGGCAAGTGACTAAAGCCCACTTGGCTTTGGAAAGACAGATGTATGTTCTCCCTCCAATAAGCATTGGATGTCCAGTGCTGGCAGCTCCACAGTCCTCAGAAACTCGGGCTCCTCCATCCTTAAACAAGGCCTTCACCTTGGGGCCCAGATGACTGCTCCATGCAGTTCCGGGCACCACATCAACACTCCGGGCAGCAGAGAAGGAAAGGGGAGGAAGAGAGTACACAATCTTTCTTCAAAGAAACATCTGATGAGTTGCACACACTATTTCCTCTTACAGCCCATTGTCTATGGCTACATCTAGCTTCAAAAAAAAAGACTGGGAAATGGAGTTGTTATTCCAAGCAGACATGGCCCATCTAAAATGAAGGATTCTAATGCAACAGAAAAAAAGGAGAATGATTTTGGAGGAAAATTAGCAGACTCAGCCACACTGTTTCTGAATAAAATAATGATGATTTTTTATACACTCATTTCCCATCTTATATAT